>NC_000002.12:149913860-150216890 GCF_000001405.40 Homo sapiens | reverse complement strand
ACAGATGCAATTAAAGTGAGAGAAGGTTTTACTTATTTTACTTACTTCCCCACCTCCAATCCCACCGCAATGCTTAGCCGTAGGTGATTAACAATATTTACTGGACAAATAAAGTTAGATCCTGGAATTATTTGGCAATTTTCCTTTAGCTTTAAATTTTATGTGTGTTGATGTAAAATTAACCTACATGAGGTTGAAACCATAAGACAGTTTATAATAGCTTTGCCATAGAATTACATTTGTAAACAAGGAAGATTTGACCTCAACGTTATAGTACTTGCCACTTGCCAAGGTCTTAATAAGATGTACTTTTCCTTTCTATTCTGCTTTCAGAATACAAATTCACATGTTTCTTATCCTTTCTCTGTCTTTTTCCTATACGGGAAATTGAGGAGAATACTGATCAAATTCTTCAGTCCTGTGGATAACAGACTAGACAGAAATGTGGTGATGAGGTCCTCAGTTAGTCCTACACATTCATAATAGAGTTTCATCCTCATTGCCCTGAGGTGATGTCAAATTCTCACTGGCTTTACAAGAACTAAAGTTCAGGTAGGTGTAGGCTGTAAGTGTTGACTGTGTTCACACTTTTAGGGATGATGAAATTTGCCATTTTTCTTCCAGAAATGTTTTTCTGAGGCAAAACAGTTTTATCTAGAATTTGGAGCTGTCTGAAATCATTTTTTATTTACTGAAATATGTTACTTGACTCGGAAGTTTCTCTTAGACTAGTACATACTCTAACTCAGCCTTGTTATTGAGTTCATTAACTGCTGTCTTTCTTTCTGTGAAGCTGTCAGTTCTGGAGAATAGGACATTTGGGTTAAGCATGGCGTGGGGGGCTCGTTACATGAGCAATTACTTTACACAAAATGTATAATTTAGTGTTTTTTTTAATTTAGAGGGAGTTTGCAAACTTATAAGGCTGCAAACTATCACAATCTTTATTTCCTGTGTGCAACACAATATGTAATTGTGGTGTTTTTTGTTTTTTTTTTTTTTTTTTGAGATGGAGTCTCACTCTCTCGCCCAGGCTGGAGTGCAGTGGCACGATCTCGGCTCACTGCAAGCTCCGCCTCCCAGGTTCACGCCATTCTCCTGCCTCAGCCTCCCGAGTAGCTGGGACTACAGGAGCCCGCCACCACGCTCAGCTAATTATTTTGTATTTTTAGTAAAGACAGGTTTCACCATGTTAGCCAGGAAGGTCTCTATCTCCTGGCCTCGTGATCCACCTGTCTCGGCCTCCCAAAGTGCTGGGATTACAGGCGTGAGCCACCGCGCCCGGCCAATATTTTTATTATTCAATATCTCTTGGGATTTTTTGTATTATACATACGTGAAATTTATTTAGAGGATTCAATAAGATATTCATTATAGAAAATCACAAAAGAACTATTATTTAATCAGCCAATGTGGTTAAAGATTATAATGCAAACTGCACCTAAACATTTAGCATTGGCTGATTGGCATACTGGACAAACAAACATTGGTTCAAATCCCAGTTAGTTCGAACACTTACCAACTGTTAAGTTATTTAGCCTTTGAGCACCACTTTTCACTCCCATGAAATGGAGATGTAAATAAAGCCTATGCATGCATAGCATTTGTGAGACAATTAAATTAGACAGTCCATGTAATATACTAGCCCAGTGCTTCACACATGGTTAGGATTCAATAGATGGTAGTCATTATTCTTACTAGTTTATATATAGTGTGACATAAGGAAGCACTAGAATACTAAAATATTCAAACCTAAATATATGACTAAAAGGCAGCCCAGTGAACTCCCAGTGTAAATTAAAAATAATCCCAGAATATTAGAATGGTGCTTGAGCTAGCAAGGAAGTCTCTACTGCTCATCTTAGGGTTGTGTGGTTCCTGTCTACCAAGAACTTACCTGAAACTAAGAGAAATCCGGGGAATGAGGAAGGACTGTTGTTGTTTCTTTATAGTTTAAGGAAAGTAACACTTCTAAAAAGAACACAGAAACAGAGGGCTCCCAGCTGTGAGGAATTCCCTCCCTGGTTTAAAAGGTCATTGACTGTTTGCAAAAGGAGTTGTTAGATACTGTTTGCACAGTGCAAATCAAAAGGAATTGGGAGCAAGTCCATAGGTTAATGAGACATTAGCCAGCCTTATGATGTGAAATAGGAAATGCACTTTCCCCTTCCATCCTCAATTTCCCACCAACTTTTATGTAAATAAGTGACTTAGTCAGACAAGGAGTCTCAAAAGCAGGCAACTGGGCAGAGAAAATCTTATCTTGGATTTTCCAAGGGGCATCCATTGCACTATTAAAATTAATACTATTTCTTGGTGAGGCCAATTTAATGCATCATTGCTTCTAATTGTGTGCATAACAGACACCTCTTTGAACATTTAGACTGGGATGTAAATAAATGTTAGCATTCACACATTCACACATCTAATTAATTTTCACCAGAAAATTCATTACAATAACATGCCATACAGACTTACCTTCATTAACTGTTATGGAGCCCTTCATAAAGCAATGTTTCCTGAAATATTATATATTGGGCAGTGGCAGTACAGCAGGCTGAAAAAGAAATAACAAAAAGCTGTCTTAAAAGAAAAATTCTAGAAACTTTACATGGATTTGTAATTTAAGCTTTACTTGCTTTGTTTATAGGAAAAGATATAGCACATTAGAGTTTGTAGGCAAACTTCTAGAAAACCTGCAGTTTTAGATTCATCTAAATCTCACAAACATGGTATAATTTTTAGCCTTGCTCTGAATGTTTACTACATCTCCAAAATTCCAAGAACTCTGTTGAAATTTTATCTTTAAATTTGTTTTTCTTTTAACTTTGTGCAATGTTTCTTTAAACCACATCTTAGTGGTTATGCCTTAGAAGACTACGAGCTAAAATAAAACCCCGAAATGGTTTAGCATCCTAAGAATACATGCAATTTCAGATTTCAAGTCTAAGCCATGATGTTGAGCATGGCCATCTCCTCTGGGTAGAAGACTGTCCTTGACAAAGGTTCAATTAAGATATGGATGTAAAATATATACCATGCAATGAAAATGGAGAGACTGAATGTCATGGCCTAGCTGAGAGAAAGGGGGATGTCTTAAATTCAGGCTTCTCCTGAATGTTATAGAAGTTATTCTTTAAAAAAATTAATTTCACATTAAATTTGGAGCCATTTTCACTGAATGTAATCTAAGTTGTGGGTCTTAAATTAGTTGTTTTTCTTAATGAATCATAGTCATTCTTTTCTGTAAAAATTCAAATTTCCTGCTCTACACAGAGTTTAGAAAAATCTCTGGATATTCCTTAAGCATCATTTTAAGTCCTTCATCAAGCATTTATTTATAAAAATAGCACCGTACAATTATTTTGTGCTTTTTACATTAAAACATTTTCATATGCATTATTATGTTTTATTAAGTTCAATAGAGGGTCAAGCATTGAGCAGGAAAGAAAGAAAAGAACTAACTGCTTTTCCTATCAGCATTTATGGGCAGAGAAACTCTTACTTGGATTTTCCAAGGGAGCTTCTGTTGCACTACTCAAATTAATACTATTTCTCGGTGAGGCCAATTTAATGCCTCACCAAGGTATGGAGAAACAAAACATACCTTCTACTAGATAATACTAGACCATATATAATCAAGGCAGACAGTGTGTGATAATCCTGTTTTCTTTGTAGAAATAGAAAACATTCTTCTTTGCTTACTAGAAGCATATGAGGTCCCATATTCAGCACCATTCCAGCACAATATTGAGCAAATTATAGTTCTCACGTTTGAAGCAGCAGCTGCCTTTAGCTGGCTGATTACTGGACAGAAGGATTAAGTATCATATTGCACATGCCTGTCTTATAATAGGCTCTTAAATGTTTGTGTTCATGTATTCATTCCACAAATCTTAGTGACAGAGCAAGTTTTTCCTGAGAAAGTGAGATTTGAGTCCAGATGTGAAGATGTGGACTATGTGAATAGGATGATCAAGCAAGTGTGGTGTGAGGAAGTTTTTCTAACAGAGGGAAGGGCGTGTGCAGAAACCCACAGTGGGAGGGAGCATGATTCTGCCCTGACCCAGAAGGAAAGTCAGCGGCTGGATGCAAAACTTTCTGGGCAGAGGGGCCCCAGGCTAGGCTCCACCAGTAAGGCAGTCACGTGGGGTTTTGGTGCCATTAGAAAACTAGATCTTCATGCAGTGAGTGAGCAGAAGCTACTGAAAGGTCTTAAGCAAAGGAAAGACATATTTAAAAGATCTTTGCTGTGAATCTTAATCTTTTCTAGGTCCTTGTCTTAGTCTGTTCAGGCCACTAAACTACAATACCACAGACTGGGTGGCTTATAAACAAGAGAAATTTATTTCTCACATTCCACCCACTGGAAGTCCCAGATTCCAGAGTGTCAGGCATGGCTGGGTTCTAGTGAGGTCCAGTTTCCTGGTTCATCTTCTTGTTGTGTCCTCGCATGGAGGAAGGGGCAAAAATTTCCCTTGGGCTTCTTTTACAAGGGGACTAATCCATGCGTAAGAGCTCCACCTTCATGATTTAATTTCCTTCCCAAAGCCTGCTCTCCTAATATCGTAACATTGGGGGAGGAGATTTCAACATATGAATCTGGGGGTACACAAATATTCAGACCATAGCAGCCACTAAAAGAGAAGCACAAAATTATAAAAACATTTTAAAATAGCTTTCACTGGTCCAGCACAGTGGCTCACATCTATAATTCCAGCACTTTGAGAGGCAGAGGTGGGAGGACTCTTTGAGGTCATGAGTCTGAGACTAGCCTGGGCAACGAGAGAGACACCTGCTCTACAAAAAATAAGAAAAAATATTAGCCGGATGTGGTGGGTACTTGCCTGTAGTCCCAGCTACTTGGGAGGCTGAGACAGGAGGATTGTTTACACTCAGGAGTTTGAGACCACAGTGAGCTATAATTGTGCCACTGCACTCCAGCATGGACAACAGAAAAGACTTCGACTCTTAAAAAGAAAAAAAAAAAAGCTCTTATTGATTTTTTTCTTTTTAAAATATTTATTAAATGAAATAGATACAGTTCTCAGAATAGTACCTGGCCATAGTGGTTCAACTGCCAACTCAAATTGTCTTGGAAAATGTAGCAAGTTTCCAGTGACAGAGATCTCCAATCTTACTGCTTAAGTTAAACAAATGTCCATTATTTAAACTGGGCTAAAGAGATGGTTTAAATTACTGTATTTGGTGTCAAAAAACAGACTGTTTTCAACATGTGGAGAGTCAATACATCATGATCTTTTTATATCCCATTAGTTTTCCAATGTTTTCAGTACTATATTTTCCCTTGAATAGAAGAGCTCCATTTACACAATAACAGATATTTCACAATTGCAGAAATGTGAATTGCAACTTTCTTAAAACTTGGCTATAATAAAGTTTACATTTCACATGTACACTATTAAAGATAATTTTGAAGACTGTTAGACTAACAGTAGCAATAACTTTCAAAAGATGTTTGAGGACTTTTTTGTGTAACTTGACAAGGGCATATCTTAAAGAGGAAAGAATGTCTTCAAGGCTAACCAGGCATCTGAATGATAAAGTAAATGAAAAACTGTGACTCATGAAAAGAAATGTTTCTAAAATCTAAAGTAAGGTTTGTCCAACTCTCATAGTAATCTTAGCCAATCAAAGGTTGCCAATTCTTTGTTAGATGCAACATCTTAGACAGTGGTTCTCACCAGCATTTTTGCAAGCATTAGAAACAAATTCCAAGGCTCTACCTCAGACCTCTTTAATCAGCAAACTCTGGGGTACAGCCTGAGAATTAACAAAAGTGTATGTTAAAAAGCCCTCCAGGTTCTCAAGTTTAAGAACCATTAGCCTAGCAGAAAATATATCCTTCAGAAACCATATCATCAGCTGCTCAAGTCCTACTTTACTGAAATAGCTTTTAGTATTACAAAAGATAAAGAGGGAAACATTATAGCCCAGAACCATTTCCCTCCTCTTGCCTAATAGAACCCTTCTCTGAATGGCCAGTATGCTTCAGGGAAATCTGGTGGGTCCCTGCTGCAGAGATGGACCCTGATTAGGCTAAACCAATGATGGCAATCCCAGCCCCTTACTTGGGAATGGTTCAGAGATATTGTAGGTCTGAACCAATCTGAGCTATTGAAATCCATACAAGATGGTTTACTGTTTGGGCAAGGAATTTCATGATTCTTAAGAGCCAAAGGAAGCTATTTGTCTCTTCCACTGCAAGAAAACATAGATGCTACCCGCAGACATCCATGAGCTTAGGAGAAGCAGCCAGAAGATGAAATGGGCACACCATGGGTTGTACAGAGTTGAATGTCTGAAAGGACCCTCTTGATGACATTATGCCCACTGGATTAGCTCCCCGTGAACAGCCTTATGTCAGGCTTTCCTGTAATATATCTCAATGCCCTTCCTCACTGTTGAAGACAGCTACAGATGCAGCTTGCAACCAAAAGCGTCTTAACATATTAGATCTTCCCTAATAAACAACGAGCCACCCAGAGACATGGGTCATGGATTTAATTTTCTTTATATCCTGAGAGTCCAGATCAACACCTGGCAGATAGTGACTGCCTAACAGACTTTTGTTGAAAGAATAAAAAACGGAATACATTTACATTTTGTAAGGATATTCTACTTACCAGAGCATCCAAAGAGGTAGAAATGTAATAGGATTACTTTAGAAATAGTTTTCTTCAGAATGCATTTATTTTGTGCTAGTTTTCAAACAGATTGGCATTGAAAACTGTAATGAGGAGGCCTTTCATCTGGGATAGAAAAAAATAGGTCTACCTATGTTTTACTTTTAATAGGTTAAAACTTGAACATAAGATGAAAATAACCACTGCTTTTAATCGTTAAGAATGTGTTCCTAATAAACCTACAACTTAAGAAACACGAACAACTCCCTGCTTTGCCATCAATTCCATTACTCACTTTCAGTTTTTCCTTTCTTTTCTTGGCAGATGCTCTTAATTGCTCACAAGTATGGATAAGAAGTGATTATAAATTTCAGATGTAATAACATCAGAGAAAAGGAGAAACAGACTGAACTGCTCTATCACTTAAGGGTTTTTTGTGGCTTCATTTTTCCTTTCTACCCTTTCTTATGTTAGTAAAAATCTCCAAATTTGAGTGATCTCTACCTAGCTACTCTTGTGTGCTATGGGGCCCTTCCCAGGGCAGATAGAGAATAAAAGACTTGAGCCCTCCCTAGAGTGGCCCCGATAAGGTCACGCAGGGGTAGGGCTGAGACTGAAACCCACCTCCTCATCTCTGGAAAACCAGACCCCCAGGTCCTTCAAACAGCGAGGTGGCATCGATTACTCCAGTGAGCGTGTAAACAGCACTTGGCATATCGCAGTCATGACTTTTAGGCTCAAAATTTTGTCTACGTACCAAATACGCCCAAAATGGTGAGTTTTCCCCTTTTGATAAGATGTGACTCTAATGCTTCCTGAATTGAAATTTCAGCTTAATTTCCACTACAAATGGCAAACCTTGTTATTCTAATACTTTCGCTCCTCCTTAGCCACATGTGATTTCAATACCACTTAGCAGTGAAATTATTCCTTAAATGTGTAGGTATAATAAGAAGTTGCTTTTTTGGGTTTAATTACATTAATCAGTAAATAAAGCACACTTTCACTACTTGAGAGCAGTGGAGTGTAATGGTTTTGGGGAACGATTCCCATCTTGAGCTCTCTTCCCTATTTACACCTGTCCATTATCCCTTTTTGTTAGGAGCTCCTTTAGAGTGTTTACCTCACGTCCCTTTACAGCATTTTAAACTCAAGCATATTAAGATGTGAATGTATGAAAGTTTACATGGCCATTTTGCGTGTGCATGGGTGAGGTCCATTTGCATTTTAAAGGGGTGAAGCCCTTTCTGCAGAACTTCTAGCATTTGCAATCTGACAAAGGAGCTAACGGAGACAGGGGTGGCTGTACTCTCTTGAGTCTGCTGAACAGTCTTGGGCACATTTTCACCCAGCCACGAGGCTGCCCTTTGGGATGACATACCTCACTAAAAATAAAATGAAAACACTCAATGGCAATGAAGACAGGATCAAGATTTACATATTTGGGACATGATGAAATAGGAAGGCAATTTAAATTTCGCCAGTGTTATTACACTTATTGTTAGACACCTAAAAGCAAAGCTGAGTTCTACCAGTTGCAAATACAGCTGCCCTCCAAGCAAGTGAGAACTCTTCCTTTCTCATGGATTGTTCTGGGAGTTAGTCAAGACTGGCTGATAAACCTTCATGTGTTCTCTATAAAGAGTTGTTTACTATGAATGATTGTGTGAAGAGCTGCCACCCCAGGCTAATCAGGGGGGGCTTCTTACCTTCACCACACCCCACTATTCTATAAGACACCAGGGTCATACATGCACTGCAACTGTCTTGCTCTGTGTGTCACACCTGAACCACTGAAAATGTAAGAATCTAAGTGCTCCCAGTAAACCCAATGACTTTGACTACACACCAGCAGTACAGTGGGCCTGTTAGCCATAAGCCAATTAAGGCAATTAGTGCTATTTAATGTGAAATGTTCTCCAATACCCACACTGGCAGGAATATTAAAAAATACAAGCACCAAGAATTCTGATTTATTTTCCTGTTGCTCGGGCCAGCTGCTGAGTGCCAAGCAGCACTGTATGTGCTCCTGGCATAACTTGATTAATAATCTTGGCAAACAAAGAATCCTTCAACAAATAGCAGTAGCCTTTTGATTATATCGTGCCAGAGATAATAATTGCTTCAAATTGACTGTAGTGGAGTCTATTTGCTCATGCATAATGAAAAAAAAAGATCATATAACAGCTTGATTACAAAAATGAACGACATGCTGGAAACCTACCAAGAATTCTCCCAAATTGGATATTTTAATTGTTTTACCTCACTTTCTGATCCAGCCCAAATTCATTTAAGAAAAATTTTACATACCAAAATCTCTATGAAACAGGGAGATTTCCAAGCCTACTGGCAATAATTCATTGAGTTAATGAATGTGAAAATGTTTTTTTAAGCTATATAAAAATACATTATTATTATTATTGGAACAATATTTAATTCATCAAAATTCCAGTATACTGAAAAGTTTAAATTGGTTCTTACAAGTCTGGAAAAGGAGACTTGACCTGTCCTTTCTGTTAGAAATGGGAATTGTGCAGACTACATCTTTGCATGTAGGTATTCTACAATTATTTCAATTTAAATATGGATTGTGCTTAGTAATGAAAATATGGAAGTGTGCCTTTGATTATTGCCACTAATCTCAGTCACCATTTGCTGAGCAACTACTGTTTCAAACACTGGGCTATGCAGTTAACGAATATTATCCAATTTAATCTTCACAACAATCCTATCAGATATTCTTTCCACACTTTGCACATAGTAGGTACAAGATAAAGATTTGTTGCATGAATAGAGTTAAGATACTTCCTTGCATCACAAGCAGGTGGACCACCATTTCAATCAACCTCAGTGCTCTTTCAGTAGCTTTTCTCTGAAATCCCTTGTCTATGCTTATTTTTTTCCTTTTCAGGAGTGACACTTTAAAGATTCTAAGTTCTAATGGTCCCCAAATGGGGCTAAGTGCAACCATACTAGGAATTCCTCCAGGTACATGTTCTTCAGGCATCCAGGCAATGTGAAATCTTCTGAATGTACCACTAACACCTATAGGTAATGACAATGGCTAATTGTCCTCAAGACTCAGCAGAAGGAACTGCTCTGGTGACATTTCAGACATGCTCAATGTGAGGCTGCCAACACAACAAAGGACCTGATGGCAGAAGACAAGTCAGCTGGGACACAGTTTGAATTTAGCTAAAAGGATCCAACACTCTTGCCCAAACAATTTTCTGGTTTTTTCTTTTTCTTTCTTTCTTTTTTTTTTTTTTTTTTTTTTTGAGTTGGAGTCTCGCTCTTGTCGCCCAGGCTGGAGTGCAGCAGCATGATGTCGGCTCACTGCAACCTCCACCTCCCAGGTTCAAGCAATTCTCCTGCCTCACCCTCCCGAGTAGCTGAGATTACAGGGGCCCACCACCACCCCCGGCTAATTTTTTTTTTTTCTGTATTTTTAGTAGACAAAGGGTTTCTCCATATTGGCCAGGCTGGTCTTGAACTCCTGACCCCATGTGATTCACCTGCCTCGGCCTCTCAAAGTGCTGGGATTACAGGCGTGAGCTACCGTACCCAGACCCAAACAATTTTCTTAATGAACATTCTACTTAGAAAAGTCTGTCATTTTGAATTTTCCACATTTGTGACAGATTGACCCACATTCTTAATGCTGATCATGGCCAGTCCTAGGTCACATTTTGAAGGGAATTAGGTTTCCCTATGGCATCTTCTCTACACCGTTTCAGCACCCCATTTTCTCTCCACCTGCTACAAACACCACCTCACCCCCATCTATTACCTTAGCAGCCTACCTTTATTAAAAACGAAATTAAAATATTTATTTCAAAATATTTTAGCCATGAAATCCTTGTCCAAATGTATGCTTACTTGGAAGCACAAATAAACAAGCCTCTCAAGAGTATGCGAATAAAGTTCTAGGATATTAACTCAATATCAACTCAATGATGCTTACACCTGAGTAAGAAATCTTTCTAGATCTTATCTCAATGTCCACTTCATTTCAAAGAGTTCTCAGATGAACACAACAACTCAGATGACCTGTTTTCTGAATCTCTCTGTGCTAATAGTCAAGGACCTGGCTCAAGTCTAATTCTTCTTTGCTTTTATGTTTGGATTTATCTTTTCTGCTGAGATAAACTGTAAACTCCCTCATGGCAAAAACATGGCCTTTTACTTATTTTCTGTTCATTTAAGTAGAAGATTCTGTCTATAGTAAATAATTTACCAGAAGTACAATTTAGAAACAATTGTCATTAAGTTAAAGCAAAACAGAAAGATAAGACAGAGGTATTCAGCTTTGATGAGACCTGCTGCCTACTTTTTTTTTTTTTTTTTTTTTTTTTTTTGAGACAGAGTCTCGCTCTGTCGCCCAGGCTGGAGTGCAGTGGCACAATCTCAGCTCACCGCAACCTCCGCCTCCTGGGTTCAAGCAATTCTCCTGCCTCAGCCTCCCAAGTAGTTGGGACTACAGGCACGTGCCACCATATCAGGCTATTTTTTTATTTTTCGTAGAGACGGGGTTTCACTGTGTTAGCCAGGGTGGTCTCCATCTCCTGATCTCGTGATCCGCCCGCCTCGGCCTCCCAGAGTGCTGGGATTATAGGTGTGAGCCACCGTGCCCAGCCCCTGTTGCCTACTTTCTTGTACCCCTCTAGTTTTGGGTAATAGCTAGAGCACTGGGTAGAAGACAGACAGCCAACCAAAGTTGAAACTGGACACCTCAACTTACTGTGAGACTGTGGGCAATTATATTTACCTTTCAGTGCCTCAGTTTCCTAATCTGTTAAGTGGACATAAAGGCTTCATCAACTAATTATGAGGATTTAAGGAGACTGCATATATGAAGCATATAGTAGACACTCAATAACTTTATACCCTACTACACTTTCCTGTTTTGAATCCTTTGGGACATGTGACCTACTTTTTCAGACACTGGGCTATACAGTTAACAAATATCCAATTTAATCTTCACAACAACTCCATCAGTTACATATTCTTTCCACACTTTACAGATCGTAGGTGCAGGATAAAGGTTTGTTGCCCACAAGTTTCTTACTACAGGTTAATTGGGTAAATAAACAAACAGAACTCCCTTTTACTAACACAGAATTACAGGCTCCTGTTCTGAGATTTAATGTCCTCTATTGCACTGTTCTGGATACAAATGAGGTAGGAGGCAGGCAGGACTAGTCTCAGGACCAGAGTGAAGACTGGCCAAAACTTGGAAGAGGGGCCCAAAGCACTTCTTGCTGCCCATCCCCCTAAGACACTACCACCAGTGCCATGACAGTTTACCAGTGCCATGGCAATGCATGAAAGTTAATGCCCCTTGCCATGGCAACACCTGGAAGCCACCTCTCATTTTCTAGCTATTTCTGAATAACCCATCCCTTCATTAGAATGTCATTTAAAGTGGGTTTATGACTGCAAATGCCGTAATGCTGCTCCTCTCAGTGCACTGCCTATGAGGTAACCCTGCTCTGCAGAAGCAGTCACAGAGCTGTAACACTGCCCATGCCTTAAAAAAGCTGCTTTCTTCAGCCACTGGCTCACTCTTGAATTCTCTCCTGAGTGAAGAACTTGCCCTGCATGACAAACATTATGGATTGCACAACTCTACGTGGTTGTGTACGTGTATGATGAGTTGACTGTGTGTGTGGGTGGCAGTAGGGGAAATCTTCCTCTTTGGTGGAAGAGCAGGCAAGAAACAGAGCACTGTTTATTCCTCCTTATCTAGCCATCCTTCCTGCCCCCACTACAGAGAGATGACTTGGTTTGACCTTTCCTCTATTTGATTATAATAGTTCAAAAAATATTAAAATGAGACAGTTTCTCCTTAGTGAAGGATTTTAGCATGGTTTTGTACAACAGGGCTCACACATTAATGTGCTTAAGAATCATTGAGGATCTTGTCAGAGTGCAGATTCCAAGTCAGTAGGAGCTGTGGGGTGGGACCTGTGGTTCTCCTTCCTTCCCTCGCTCCCTCCCTCCCTCCCTCCTTCCTTCCTTCCTTCCTCTCTCTTTCTTCTTTCTCCTTCCTTCCTTCCTCCCTTCCTCCCTTCCTTCCTTCCTCCCTCCCTCCCTCTCTCTCTCTTCCTTCCTTCCTCCCTCCCTCCCTCTCTCTCTCTTCCTTCCTTCCTCCTTCCTTCCTTCCTGTTTTTTTTTTTTTTTTTCAGAGTCTCACTCTGTCACCCAGGCTGGAGTACAGTGATGAAATCTCGGTTCACTGAAACCTCTGCCTTCTGGGTTCAAGCGAGTCTCCTGCCTCAGCCTCCTATGTAGCTGGGACCACAAGCATGACTACAGGCATGCATCACCATGCACAGCTAATTTTTGTATTTTTATTAGACTGGGTTTTGCCATGTTGGCCAGGCTGGTCTCAAACTCCTGGCCTCAAGTGATCCACCCACCTCAGCCTCCCAAAGTGCTGTGATTACAGCTGTGAACCAGAGGCCCGGCTGCATTTCTAATAAGCACTCAGGAAATGTTACTGCTGCTGCTGCTCCACAAATCGCACTTTAAGTAAGGATCCAAGTAATGTAATCAAGGCAACCAAAGCCAATCACATAAAACACAAGGAAGAATACCACTAGAAACAAGAACAACAAAGCAAAAACTCAGATTGAAAACTCACTTGGCAGTGGCACAATGTGTATTATAGGACTAGAGGGAATCACATGCTTGTTTATGCATTTGAATTCTAAAAAATCTTTTATTTGCTTACATATGAAGTTCAGACTCTCATTCTTGGTCTCATCTTATGTATCACTGGGAAAAGCTCTACTCATCTTCATGCCCCTCACATATGATACCCACTTTTAAGTTCCACATATTTTAAGAAATGTTCATAGGTATCTTGGAAACCAAATAAAATGGAACAAAAATGTATTTTAGAAGATTTTTAACAAGTATCTCATATCTATGATGTCTGCTGATATACACACAGAACAAGCACATGAAAAATACTGTTCACAAGCCCATGTGAAATAGTCATTTCCAGCACTGATTTGGACCCAGATGGCCTGCATCTGAATCTTGGCTCTCTTACTCACTAGCTTTGGTGGGTTATTTCACATCTCTGTGCATGAGCTTCCTCATCTACAAAATGAGGACTATGATAGTTTTTTTTTTTTAATCTCAGGTTGGCTGTGCGGATAGATGAAATTAATTTAAGTATAGGACTTAGAACAGTGACTCATACATAGGGAGCACCATATAAGTCTGTTTCTGTTGCTATTGCAAATTACCCTAGACTGGGTAATTTATAAACAACAGAAGTTTATTGCTCACAGTTGAGGCACCAGCAGATTCAGTGTCTGGTGAGGGTTTGCTCTCTGTGCTTCAAGATGGTGCCTTCTTGCTGTGTCCTCACATCATGGAAGGGCAGGCAGTTCCCTTGGGCTTCTTTGATAAGGGCACTAATCCCATTTACAAGGATTCCACTCTCATGACCTATTTACTTCTCAAATGCCCCACTTCCTAATACCAAGACATTGGGGGTTAGATTCTAGCGTACGAACTTCTGGGAGACACAAACATTTAGACCATACTAGGTATTATATATATAACCACCTATATATAATTCTTAACTTTATAGAATAGTTTGACTTTAAGAAAGGAGTACATGTAATGCAAATCAGCATTTTGGGGCCAATCACTCCAGAGCATGTTGTCTGTGAATCATCACAAGTCATGTAGCCTGTCTTTTTATTTGAATGTGTGTTTGCAATTTTGGTCAATATTTTACTATTTTAGTCATATAAACTCCAAATATTTTCTCTTATAGTAATAAATTTATCTATGAGACAATAGTTGGAGTATACTTTAATTTAAGGCAAATTGTATATCAGAAGCTCTTGGTGGAGAAAATCAATATGTTATATTTTTAAAAGTATTCTAGGGCCAAATACTTTGAGATGCATATAATACAGTGGGTTTTGTATTTACAATCAAGGGTGTTAGTATGCAAGTCTTGGTTCTGCCATTTACAAGCTGTGTGACCCTGGCCAAATCACTTTTCTTTTACGTTTCATTTCCAAAATAACTATAATCATAGTACCTACCTAATGAGATTGTTGTGAGGTATAAATGAAAACAATACAAATTAAGTCCTCAGCACACTGCCAGTCCTATAGTAATTTCTCTATCAATGAAATGATAATAGCAACAATAATAAATACATTTAGAAATTATGAACCTTGGTAATTAACAAATCTGAAAGCCAATGCAAGCATATCTAATATAGATGGAAACGTCTCCAACATCAGGAGAAAGTCATATGTTTTCCCCTACTTCAACCTTCTTCCTGCCTCTCTTCAACCTCCAAAGTCCAGATAATCTAATGTCTCAGCTTGTCCAGCAGAGTCCCATTTTATGTCTGTTGTTCCAGCATAAATGTTAATAGGACAGCCTATTACACACGAAGTGTACTACTTAAGACAATAAATTGCATGTTCACCCACCTGCGGGACTTTTCTTAGCTGATCATTCACCTCATTAAGATTACAAAGAGCCCTGCATGATTTTCAGATAAGAAAAAAAAAATGACCTTTTTTTTTCAAGTATTACAAGCCCCAATTTCCCTGAAAATAGAATCAAAAATTTAAAAATTTATTTTTCTTTTGATTGACCACAATGTGTCTCATAGGCTCTGTCCAGAAGACAATTATTTGCGGTAGTTTGATTTCTCTGAGATGAACTTTGTTGGGATGTGAAGAACTAAGCATAAGAAGCAAGAACAAATTGGGGGAAATCAATGGCTGAAAATATGGGTGGGGCCTAGAATTACTATTGTCAGGGGAAGGGGGAAGTGACCAAAAATACCATAAGAAATATACTTCAGGCATGGATCAATTTTCTGCCACTGATTTTTAATTTTACCTTCTTTTTCTCCTTGTTGATTGCATCATGGTTATCCTGCACTGCAGCAGCGTGGTGATTAAAAACACACAACTTGGGCTGGGTGCAGTGGCTCATGCTTATAGTCCCAGCACTTTGGGAGGCTGAGGCGGGTGGATCTCTTGAGTTCAGGAGCTCAAGACCAGCCTGGGCAACTTGGTGAAACCCCATCTCTCCCCAAAATACAAAAATTAGCCAGGGGTGGTTGTGCTAATTTTTGTGTTTTGGGGAGATATGGGGGTTTCACCATGTTGCCCGGGGGCTGGTGTTGAACTCTGAGCTCGAGTCTTTGGTCCCAGCTACTCAGGAGGCTGAGGCACAAGAATCACTTGAACCTGGGAGGCAGAGGTTGCAGTGAACTGAGATGGCACCACTGCACTCCAGCCTGGGTGACAGAGCGAGACTCCATCTCAAAACAAAACAAAACACACAGAATCTGGAGCCAGACAGCTTCTGTTCATGTTCACCCTCCAACATGTACTAGCCGTGTAACTTTGGGCAAACTCCTTAATATTGCTGAGTCTCATTTTCCTCCTGTGGTAAAAATGGGGCTAACAACCTATTTCATAGGGTATATATCAAGATTAAATAAGGTAATATGTGTAAAGCTCTTAAAATAGTACCTGGTGCTTAGTAAGTGCTTTTGTGCAAACTTTTATTTTACTTTTACTTTTATTTTACTTCAGGACTATTATAATAACAGAGTAGAACTAGGATTTCTCCTGATTCTAGCTTTAAATAAAATTAATTGGTCAATCTTCTGTAGTAAGGGTACTGTTATTGTTATTACTAACATTTTCTTTTGATTCATTCTACTGAAATTTTTTTTAATGTTAATGTGTTGTCTCCTTGAATTTTCACTGTTCAATGTTTACTTTCACACATATGACTAACCATGGCTCAAAACACATATGTACAGTTGAAGTGAAAGATGGGTTTTTGATTTAATGGCAAAAAAATTAATCGGTGGTAAAATAAGAACTCTTAAATGAGTGCTATTCTTTAAAGGGATGATATTTCTATCACTATTATATGTTGATTTATAATCACTATTATATACTCTCTTTGATGTAATTTAGACACATTATGGTGGGCAGGAGAAGAAATGAGATGGGCCATTGTGAATCAGTGGTGTAGAAATAAGCATATGTCATGAATAGAATAATGTTCCTATTTCTCAAGGAGCACAGTATGAAGAAATAATTGTTTTGAAAATGTAAGATTCAAACAAGATGTCTGATTTAAACTGTATAAAGCTTATTTACCACCACTGGCAAAAATAAGAGGTGAAAGACCTTCTGGGTCATGCATGTGTCCTTTTAACCGGGAACCATGGAGACAGGCATCATAGAAACAGGTAAATCTCATCTTTTACTTTTTGAAGCTTTTATATAATTCCTTTAGCTTTGTCCATGAAAATTCAGGGCAAAATATGTGATAAGTATCTAGATGTTTCAAAATTTTAAACCACACTTCATTTTCTCTTTAAAGCGAATATGATTTTAAACATGATTTTAGCATAATTGTCTCAGTTCTTCAAAGAAGCTGTAGAAAGTATGTTGGCAGATGTTACAATCAAGAGGTTTCTGTTGATTAGTCTTTAGGGACTGGAATGATGAAGGAGGCTCAAAATAAATAAATCATAGTAGTTAATGTGTCCCATTTCCCTCTTTAAGGCCTTATCTAATGCAAAAAGTGCCCCTAAAACATTGAAAAAGCCATATTTTTCTTCTATAGAAATATAAGATAGAGGTTATTGAACATAGAAAAAAATCTAAGATCAAAAGTGCCTCCTGAATAATCAAAAAGAGAGAAAAGCAAATTTATTATGCTTCTGTAATGTTAATTATTACATTTAGTCCCTCCAAAAAGTGATTATCCACAGACTATATTTGTGGAACCACCAGATAGTTTAAGTAACTAATAGGTCTTACTCCCTAAGCATTCTGCACAAGTCAGAGTTGTTCTACGTTTCTTCAGATATGGCATTGGCTAGCTTTTATGTAGCACTCCAGGACTACAATCATAACATCAGAGCAGTCCTGAGATTCCTTTTGATCCAAGTTTTGATCATAGTAATCAATAGATCCATGTACTCTAAGTAGTTAAGTACCTGATGCTTCTGGGCCTCTGCTGATTGTGCTACCATGGAGAGGATTGGTTTGAGGAATCTGACTAAAATTACCACCCAAAGAGTTCTTAGAGTCATTCTCTCACGTCACAGCTGCTGCCTCCATCTCAAGAATGGCTCCTATACACAATCAGTTTCAATTCATCCTGGCAGAATTATATGGAGAAGTGGTGAAGATTCATCTGTTTTAAGAGACTTGGCCTTAATTTTGCTTAAGTATGTATGTTTAGCATGAAAGTCTCTGAGTCTTGCCTCATAAAATTGAGGGTAGTAAAGAAGTTAAAGTGATGGATATTATGATGAGTTCTATCACACTCCCAGCTCCTAATTTCCCTTGCTATAGTATCTTGGTGCCCTCTCAATGTGTTTCTGTAGAAGATGTCAGGAAATACCTCTTTATACATGCCTTAAGCCATGTAGTGATCTATCCTTCTTACAGGAAAGGAGTACACTGAGATTATTATCAATGTTCTGAAGAAACTTGGGCAAGGGTCACTGAATACTTTCTTATAAAATATCTGCTTTGTTTGCTCTGAAGGAAATGAAATAACCCTACTTGGATCTCCTTTGTTTAGAAAGCCTTTCTTTTCTTTTTCAATTTTTTAAAATTATACTTTAAGTTCTGGAACACATGTGCAGAACGTGCAGGTTTACCACATAGGTATACGTGTGCCATGGTGGTTTGCTGCACCCATCAACCCGTCATCTACATTGGGTATTTCTCCTAATGCTATCCCTCCTCTTGCCCCCCAACCCCTGACAGGCCCCAGTGTGTGATGTTTCCCTCCCTGTGCCCATGTGTTCTCCTTGTTCAGCTCCCACTTATGAGTGAGAACATGCGGTGTTTGGTTTTCTGTTCTTGTGATAGTTTGCTGAGAATGATGGTTTCCAGCTTCATTCATGTCCCTGCAAAGGACATGAACTGATCCTTTTTTATGGTTGCATATTATTCCATGGGGTATATGTGCCACATTTTCCTTATCCAGTCTATCACTGATGGGCAGTTGGGTTGGTTCCAAGTCTTTGCTATTGTGAATAGTGCTGCAGTAAACATATGTGTGCATGTGTCTTTATAGTAGCATGATTTATAATCCTTTGGGTATATACCCAGTAATGGGATTGCTGGGTCAAATGGTATTTCTGGTTCTAGATCCTTGAAGAATCACCACACTGTCTTCCACAATGGTTGAACTAATTTACACTCCCACCAACAGTGTAACAGCATTCCTATTTCTCCACATCCTCTCCAGCATCTGTTGTTTCCTGACTGTTTAATGATCACCATTCTAACTGGCATGAGATGGTATCTCATTGTGGTTTTGATTTGCATTTCTCTAATGGCTAGTGATGATGAGCTTTTTTTCATGTTTGTTGGCTGCATAAATGTCTTCTTTTGAAAGTCTCTGTTCATATCCTTCTGCCACTTTTTGATGGGGTCGTTTGTTTTTTTCTTGTAAATTTAAGTTCCTTGTAGATTCTTGATATTAGCCTTTGTTAGATGGATTGATTGCAAAAATTTTCTCCCATTCTGTAGGTTGCCTGTTCACTCTGATAGTTTCTTTTGCTGTGCAGAAGCTTTTTAGTTTAATTAGATCCCATTTGTCAATTTTGGCTTTTGTTGCAATTGCTTTTGGTGATTAGTCATGAAGTCTTTGCCCATGCCTATGTCCTGAATAGTACTGCCTAGGTTTTCTTCTAGGGTTTTTACGGCTTTACATCTTATGTTTAAGTCTTTAATCCATTTTGAGTTAACTTTTCTACAAGGTATAAGGAAGGAGTCCAGTTTCAGATTTCTGCATATGGCTAGCCAGTTTTCCCAACACCATTTATTAAATAAGGAATCGTTTCCCCATTGCTTGTTTTTCTCAGGTTTGTCAAAGATCAGATGGTTGTAGATGTGCAGCATTATTTCTGAGGCCTCTATTCTGTTCCCTTGGTCTATATATCTGTTTTGGTACGAGTACCATGCTGTTTTTGTTATTGTAGCCTTGTAGTATAGTTTGAAGTCAGGTGGTGTGATGCCTCTAGCATTGTTCTTTTTGCTTAGGATTGTCTTGGCTATACAGCTCTTTTTTGGTTCCATATGAAATGTAAAGTAGTTTTCTCTAATTCTGTGAAGAAAGTCAATGGTAGCTTGATAGGGATAGCATTGAATCTATCAATTACTTTGGGCTGTATGGCCATTTTGATGATATTGATTCTTCCTATCCATGAGCATGGAATGTTTTTCCACTTGTTTGTGTCCTCTCTTATTTCCTTGAGCAGTGGTTTGTAGTTCTCCTTGAAGAGGTCCTTCACATCCTTTGTAAGTTATATTCCTAGGTATTTTATTCTCTTTGTAGCAATTGTGAATGAAGGTTCAATCATGATTTGGCTCTCTGCTTGACTATTACTAGTGTATAGGAATGCTTATGATTTTTGCACATTGATTTTGTATCCTGAGACTTTGTTGAAGTTGCTTTTCAGCTTAAGGAGATTTTGGGCTGAGACGATGGGGTTTTCCTTTTTTTTTGAGATGGAGTCTCACTCTGTTGCCCAGGCTGGAGTGCAGTGGCACGATCTCAGCTCACTGTAAGCTCTGCCTCCTGAGTTCATGCCATTCTCCTGCCTCAGCCTCCTGAGTAGCCAGCCAACATGGCTGGCTAATTTTTTTCTATTTTTAGTAGAGACGGGTTTCACCATGTTAGACCGGATGGTCTTGATCTCCTGACCTCGTGATCCACCTGCCTTGGCCTCCCAAAGTGCTGGGATTACAGACATGAGCCACCGTGCCTGGCCGACGATGGGGTTTTCTAAATCTACAATCATGTCATCTGCAAACAGATAATTTGACTTCCTCTCTTCCTATATGAATATTCCTTATTTCTTTCTCTTGCCTGATTGCCCTCGCCAGAACTTCCAATACTATGTTGAATAGGAGTGGTGAGAGAGGGCATCCTTGTCTTGTGCTGATTTTCAAAGGGAATGCTTCCAGCTTTTGCCCATTCAGTATGATATTGGTTGTGGGTCTGTCATAAATAACTCTTATTATTTTGAGATACATGGCATCTACACCCAGTTTATTGAGAGTTTTTAGCATAAAGGGGTGTTGAATTTTATCGAAGGCCTTTTCTACATCTATTGAGATAATCATGTGGTTTTTGTCACTGGTTCTGTTTATGTGATGGATTACGTTTACTGATTTGTATATGTTGAACCATCCTTGCATCCCAGGGATGAAGCTGACTTGATTGTGGTAGATAAGGTTTTTGATGTGCTGCTGGATTCAGTTTGCCAGTATTTTATTGAGGGTTTTTGCATTAATGTTCATCAGGAATATTAGCCTCAAATTTTCTTTTGTTCTTGTGTCTCTGACAGGTTTTGGTATCAGGATGATGCTGGCCTCATAAAATGAGTTAGGGAGGAGTCCCTCTTTTTCAATTGTTTGGAATAGTTTCAGAAGGAATGGTACCAGCTCCTCTTTGTACCACTGGTAGAATTCAGCTGTGACTCCATCTGGTCCTAGGCTTTTTTTGGTTGGTAGGCTATTAATTGCTGACTCAATTTCAAAACTTGTTATTGGTCTATTCAGGGATTCAACTTCCTCCTGGTTTAGTCTTGGGAGGGTGTATGTGTTCAGGAATTTATCTATTTCTTCTAGATTTTCTAGTTTATTTGCATATAGGTGTTTATAGTATTCTCTGATGGTAGTTTGTATGTCTGTGGGATCAGTGGTGACATACCCTTTATCATTTGTATTGAGTCTATTTGATTCTTCTCTCTTTTGTTATTAGTCTGGCTAGCAGTCTATCTATTTTGTTGATCTTTTTAAGAAACCAGTTCCTGGATTCACTGATTTTTTTGAAGGGTTTTTTGTGTCTCTATCTCCTTCAATTCTACTCTGTTCTTAGTTATTTCTTGTCTTCTGCTAGCTTTTGAATTTGTTTGCTCTTGCTTTCTAGTTCTTTTAATTGTGGTGTTAGGGTATTGGTTTTAGATCTTTCCCGCTTTCTCCTGTGGGCACTTGTGCTAGAAGTTTCCCTCTAAACACTGCTGTAGCTGTGTCCCAGAGATTCTTATAAGTTGTGTCTTTGTCCTCATTGGTTTCAAAGAACTTATTTATTCTGCCTTAATTTCATTATTTACCCAGTAGTCATTCAGGAGCAGGTTGTTCAGTTTCCACGTAGTTGTCTGCAGTTTTGAGTGAGTTTCTTAATCCTGAATTCCAATTTGATTGCAATGTGGTCTGAGAGACTGTTTGTTATGATTTCCATTCTTTTGCATTTGCTGAGGAGTATTTTACTTCCAATTATGTGGTCAGTTTTAGAGTAAGTGTGATGTGGTGCTGAGAAGAATGTATATTCTGTTGATTTGTGGTGGAAAGTTCTGTAGATGTTTGTTAAGTCTGCTTGGTCCAGAGCTGAGTTCAAGTCTTGAATATCCTTGTTAATTTTCTGTCTCATTGATCTATTATTGACGGTGGGGTGTTAAAGTGTCCCCCCATTATAGTGTGGGAGTCTAAGTCTCTTTGTATGTCTCTAAGAACTTGCTTTATGAATCTGGGTGCTCCTGTATTGGGTGCATATATATGTACGATGGTTAGCTCTTCTTGTTGCATTGATCCCTCTATCATTATGTAATGCCCTTCTTTGTCTTTTTTCATCTTTGTTGGTTTAAAGTCTGTTTTATCAGAGACTACGACTGCAACCCCTGCTTCTTTTTTGCTTCCCATTTGCTTGGTAAATCTTCCTCCATCCCTTTATTTTGAGCCTATGTGTGTCTTTTCGTGTGAGATGGGTCTCCTGAATACAGCACACCGATGGCTCTTGACTCTACCCAATTTGCCAGTCTGTGTCTTTTATTTGGGGCATTTAGCCCATTTACATTTAAGGTTAATATTGTTATGGGTGAATTTAATCCTGTGATTATGATGCTAGCTGGTTATTTTGCCTGTTAGCTGATGCAGTTTCTTTATAGTGTTGATGGTCTTTACATTTTGGTATTTTTTTTGCAGTAGCTGGTAACAGTTTTCCTTCCCATATCTAGTGCTTCCTTTAGGAACTCTTGTAAGGCAGGCCTGGCTGTGACAAAATGCTTCAGCATTTGCTTGTCTGTAAAGGATTTTATTTTTCCTTCACTTATGAAGCTTAGTTTGGCTAGATATGAAATTCTGGGTTGAGAATTCTTTTCTTTAAGAATGTTGAATATTGGCCCCCACTCTCTTCTGGCTTGTAGGGTTTCTGCCGAGATATCCACTGTTAGTCTGATGGGCTTCCCTTTGTGGATGACCTGACCTTTCTCTCTGGCTGCCATTAACATTTTTTTCCTTCATTTCAACCTTGGTGAATCTGATGATTATGTGTCTTGGGGTTGCTCTTCTCGAGCAGTATCTTTGTGGTGTTCTCCGTATTTCCTCAATTTGAATGTTGGCCTGATTTGCTAGGTTGGGAAGTTCTCCTGGATAATATCCTGAAGAATGTTTTCCACCTTGGTTCCATTCTCTCCGTCATTTTCAGGTACACCAATCAAACATAGGTTTGGTCTTTTCACATAGTCCCATATTTCTTGAAGGCTTTGTTCATTCCTTTTCATTCTTTTTTCTCTAATCTTGTCTTCACACTTTATTTCATTAAGTTGATCTTCAATCTCTGATATCCTTTCTTTGGCTTGATCGACTCAGCTATTGATACTTGCCTATGCTTCACCAAGTTCTCATGCTGTGTTTTTCAGCTTCATCAGGCCATTTATCTTCTTCTCTAAACTGGTTATTCTAGTTAGCAATTCCTCTAACCTTTTATCATGGTTCTTAGCTTCCTTGCATTGGGTTTGAACATGCTCCTTTAGCTTAGAGGAGTTTGTTATTACCCACCTTCTGAAGCCTAATTTTGTCAATTCGTCAAACTCATTCTCCATCCAGTTTTGTTCTCTTGCTGGCAAGGAGTTGTGATCCTTTCGAGAAGAGGCATTCTCGTTTTTGGAATTTTTAGCCTTTTTACATTGGTTTATCCTCATCTTTCTGGATTTATCTACCTTTGGTGTTTGATGTTGGTAACCTTCAGATGGGTTTTTGCATGGGGGTACTTTTTGTTGATATTGATTGCTATTGCTTTCTATTTATTGCTTTTCCTTCTAGCAGTCAGGACCCTCTGCTGCAGGTCTGTGGGAGTTTGCTAGAGGTCCATTCCAGACCCTGTTTGCCTGGTTATCACCAGCGGAGGCTGCAGAACAGCAAAGATTGCTGCCCGCTTCTTCCGCTGAAAGCTTCATCGCAGAGGGGGACCCGCCAGATGCCGGCCAGAGCTCTCCTGTATGTAGTGTCTCTTGTCCCCTGCTGGGAAGCATCTCCCCATCAGGAGGCATGGGGGTCTGGGACCCATTTGAGGAGGCAGTCTGTCCCTTAGCAGAGCTTGAGTGCTGTGCTTGAAGATCAGCTGCTTTCTCCAGAGCTGGCAGGCATGAACATTTAAGTCTGCTGAAGCTGCCCACAGCCACCCCTTCCCCAGGTGCTCTGTTCCAGGGAGATGGGAGTTTTATCGGTAAGCCCTTGACTGGGGCTGCTGCCTTTCTTTCAGAGATGCCCTGCCCAGAGAGGAGGAATCTAGAGAGGTAGTCTGGCTACCAGGGCTTTGAGCGCTGTGGCGGGCTCCGCCCAGTTCGAGCTTCCCAGGCACTTTGTTTACACTGTGAGGGGAAAACCCCGTACTCAAGCCTCAGCAATGGTGGACACCCCTTCCCCAACCAAGCTCGAGAGTCCCAGGTTGACTTCAGACTGCTGTGCTGGCAGCAAGAATTTCAAACCAGTGGATCTTAGCTTATTGGGCTCCATGGGGGTTGGATCCGCTGTGCAAGAGCACTCAGCTCCCTGGCTTCATCCCCTTTTCCAGGTGAGTTAATGGTTCTGTCTCACTGACATTCCAGGAAAGCCTACTTTTTGGATATATGTCCTCTAATCTATTTAGAAGGGACTCGTCCCTTTGCTTAAGGCCTGGTGGGATTTCCTCTGGGTGAAGTTTAATGGGAGTAGTCTATGAGAAGCTTGTGAGTTTTCATCAGCAACCATCTGGCCCAGAAAGTCTATAAAAACTATATGTCTTCCTTTTGCTGAGATACTTACCTGAGTGTCCCTACAGAAGACCAATTATGGGTTGTAGGCAAAATCTGTCTTTGTACCCTCCCATCACCAAATAAATTATTCCATGTCTGATCCTCACGGCTACTTGAACTGATTCCCACTTTCTCGAAAAGACTGAAAGAAAGCAATAAAGGGAATGCTTAAATTTTTTGAGCACTGTATTTGATAAGGAAAAAAAGATGTAGGAAATCATTTGACCCACTTCCATCTCTCCTTACTCTTGTGAAATTTTATGTCTCTAAGATGTAAAGAAGATAAATGGTCAATCTCTAATAAAGGAAGCATTCCTAATTTTCCAAGAACTATTCTGTTTGTGTTGTTTCCTCTAGTGCATTGTTAAAGTTTTCCTCCACTGCTTTTCCAGTTAATGATTTTGAGGACAATATCCCTTCCATTGATCTCTAGTTTGATAGACAGCAGAATGAAGTTGTGTCTTCTCACTATTGCCTCTTGAACAGAGAGAAGGAAAAGGGAAAAAAAAATTCCATCTTCAATGAAGACAGGAAATGGCTATGACCACATACCACAAAATTATTAGAATAACTTGCCAAGTCTTGCGAGACAATACCAAGGACAGACGCACATTCTGTAGAATTCTGGCAATGTTTCAGCAACAGCAGACATTGCTGTTTGTCTAATGGAAAATGGAAAACTAGTTTTTTGCCCATTCCCTCCTCAGGCTTTATTCTTCGTCGGCAGAGCCTTGGTTTTTGTGAGTATGAGGTGGTCACAAACTTCAGAGACTAATTATGATTAGTTGTAGCCCCCGATCATGATTTGTCCTGGTTTGAGAATGAGAAGTGACACAATTCTGGAAAATGTATGCAACAGTGTGCTTCTGGGAAACATTTTCTCATTTTAAAAAGGGACACAGGGGCCAGGCACGGTGGCTCACGCCTATAATCTCAGCACTTTTGGAAGCTGAGGCAAGTGGATCACCTGAGGTCAGGAGTTTGAGGCCCGCCTGGCCAGCATGGTGAAACCCCATCTCTACTAAAATTAGCCAGGCGTGGTGGTGTGTGCCTGTAGTCCCAGCTACTCAGGAAGCTGAGGCAGGAGAATTGCTTGAACTCGGGAGGCAGAGATTGCAGTGAGCCGAGATTGCACCACTGCACTCCAGCCTGGGTGACAGAATGAGACTCCATCTCAAAAAAAAAGGGACACAAATAAGGTTAAGCCTCTTTAGGGCCTCTGAATAGCATTATCTGCATGTAAGGCTTGGAAATATGGCACCTGGGACCGCAAAGGGAGCCAGCCTAAGGGGAAAGTGAGTGTGCCCATTTTGGCAGTCAGAAAAGATGCAGAGGATTTGAGTGTTTCATAAGGTCTCTGTTCCACTGAATAATCACCCTGAAAATGCTTTTCTCATCATTCTTCAACATGCAAGATAATGCATGTCCTAGTGGTTTCAGCCTTCTTACTCATAGTGAAAATCATCCTAATATAGCAGGGTCCTCAAACAGTAGGGCTATCTCTGATGGATCCAACACTCCTTTACTATTATAATGACAAAATCTAGGGGTGAAGATTATCTGTGGAAGCACCCTTTAACCCTGGTTCTTAAAACATAATGGAGACATTGTGGGAAAGGGTTGGCTATACATCTATTTGAGCATTAATAGATAATAATCTATTCAGATGTAGTATTAACAATAAGCAAATGTAGGAGTCATTTAGATCACAAGAGAAATATTTAAAAATGTTGAGAATTTCAAAATAACAATATAATTAACATACTCTTGAAGGTGAAATGTGATAGAAATATAACTAGGTTAAATTTCTGATTTTTCACACTGGAAGTTGATTGATACTGTTTAAAGTAGGCAAATCAAGCAGCAAATGTTTAAATGTATTATTTGAAGATACATACGTATATGTATATATATGTATTATTTTAAGAGATCTGTAAGAAAAATTTAAATTGAGAACATAATAACCAAAATCAAGAGATGAAGTAGAGAAGAAAAGTGGGAGAAAATACGAATGTTCCAGTTCATTCACTGTTTAAAAGGGACAATTCATATACACTCTGTAAAAATGAAAGAAATAAGAAGCATTATTGTTACAATTTGTAAACATCAACACTACAGGATCTAAAAACAGAGAATGTACTCTCCAAGCTACTGGTTGGGAAACATAACCAAAACAAAACATGGAGACAGATCATATATAAAAATTAGACAATTTACAAAGCAGCAATGACAAATCATATAAGAACTAAGAACAAGCCTATCTGTCATGTCAGTAAATGTAAATAAGATGAACTCAAGTTTTAAAAGAAAGAGACTCTCAGATTGGGAGGAAAGCCTCAAGACCTGAGGGGGTTAATGAGGTGCTGACAAGGTATAAGTGGGGAGAGTAACCCATCTGTCCCCAGTTTTAAGCTGCACTTGTTTTTTTTTTTTCCCAAGTAGCGCTGCTTGTGTTTAGAATTTCACGAAGTCTTTTATGAAAACATTTTTCTTCGGCTTAAGGCTCTGAACCTTTCTGTTGATAATAAAATTCTATTTCAAGCTGGATTAGAGAGCTGCTATGCCATCCTCTCTACTGCTTTGACATTTCCAATCTTTCTCCTGGTGAATACAAACATTCCTTTCCTTTTCTTGCACCCTCAAAGAAGAGTTTCTGTACTCATCAAGTCAGAAGCTATCAACTACCTACCCTATTCAAGAACGTTAAGACCTCGTTTTTAACATTGGTCAGTTGAGATACCCTGTGATTCTAGTATCACAAGAATTCTTCCACATTAATTGAACAACCATTTGCTATCATGAACCAATTGCTGGCATTGCAAAGCTAAAGAAGTCTCAACACCACAGGCTGCATGTTATAGGCTATGAGCTTTATGATTAGGTTCAGAAAATAACAAATATATGCCATCAATATGGAAATGAATGCCACTGCAGTCAGATGGACACATCAGCTTCCATGTTTCAACAGACTTGAGTGGGTGAGTTCGTTAAAATAGCACATGCTTCTAAAGAGTAAATCAGGTTGACTGACTACAAAAAATCTTTAAAACCTCAGTGTGTATATTTTTAAACTGTTACATCATGGATAGGCAGGTCAAACTCCATTGCTGTTTAAAAGAGCAGTTTTCCACCTCAGTGGAAAAGACACCTGGATGATGCAAATAGGTATGGGGTATGTTGCAATTTGTTAGCTATGACAGTTAGTGTGTGAAAGTTTGAGAATGATTTACTGAAAAAAAACAACAAATTCAAGGTTATCTACATAACATCACACTCGTGAGTATTTTGATATGCATTATTGAGCTTGAAATAAAGGGATTTAAGTATAATTACTCCTCAGAGAATCCCAAATAAATCTGTGTATACCCACGGGAATATGTATAAACCATTGGCTTAAATGCTGATGGTTGAAGAACAACCTAAAAGAAGAACTTGCAAAGGTGCTGAAAATAAATAGTATAGGGAGATTAGAAAAATAAACTGAGAGCCTGCCCCCAAAATGCTTGTATTTCCCTAGCAAGTCTAAAGTAGCTACGATTTTTTTTTTGAAAGAAAATAAACACCTGGGAAAACCACCAAGAACAATGTGTAAATCCCCTTCCTTTGTTTGTCCAAGGAACTACACTGAGCCACCCGAAGAAGCATAAAATCTGTGGAATTTTTGTTCCCTAGGAGGTGGAATACAAAACCCTGAATAAGCTAGGATTGCCGTCTTTCATAACCAACTATAATTTTATTGATTTCCACGTGTTATCCAAGTCTTATTAAGAGAGATGAGAAGTCTGCCAAAGCAAATAGAAAGATGCACATACTGCCATCTGAGTTTTATGTTACGTGGGCTACACCTATTGATGGAATTTAAAATTGGAGGTTGCCAAGAAGCCAGAAGGAAAGTGCAGGGTGATTTATGTTCTCAAAACACAGATAATACTCTATATTAAAAATTTCTACTTTTTTCCATGGAACTGCGTTCATCTTTTGGTAATAATATACAATACATTTTTCAATGCAAAATAATGATTTTTATCATTGAAGATCATTATCTATCAATTATCATTGTAGATGGCTAAATGTGGTCAGTCCTTGACTTATGCTTTTCTTCCCCCATAAATTCCAGTGAAATAGTTTAGATTTTATTAAAGTTACCTTTCAGGATTTATATAGAAAATAGTCAAGACTTTTTTAAAAAGCTACAATTATTTAACATTTCATTGAAAAAATCAAAATTTCAACAGACAATAAAGTGGAATCATTTATTTTTGCATATCCTTTGATATTTCCTGAAGATTAAGGGTCTATATTTATAGGAATCCTCTATAAACCAGTCTTAACTAATGATTACTCAGCTTCTGTCATGCTAGTTCTGTCTACTCCTTTTACTCACGTATTTGCTATATAGTAGAAATCATATTTTCATATAAAGGATCTTAGATACTTTAAATCATGGATCTTGATTCTCTTTGACATTTTCTTTCTTAGTCTAAATATTTAGAGGTCCTAAAAGGTCCTCTATTTTTGAAAATGTGGACACTGTTTCACCTTTCAGTTTTAGGGATGTTTTATTTCTGGATCATGGTGATTGCCTTTTTTTTTTTTTTCTAAAAGAGATGAAAAACAATTTCAAGATTGAATGCTTAAATTTAGCTCAGTTTCTATAATTAAAAGTGATAAAGGAATTATAGAATCTCACCAATATTTTGCTGAGGAATAAGACAAAGAGATTCAACCAAAAATGATTAAAAGTAGTGATTGGCAAAAACAAATAAATCACGTTTATATTTGTTTCGCTTGGGACTGAACTCGTAGTAGTTAACAGATATCCCTATAAATAAGGGCTTAAACTCAAAGGTATTGTTTGGCTTAAGAGGTAAAACGTTGTTAAGGATTGTGTTAGTTCACTTTTACACTGCTATAAAGGAATACCCAAGGCTGGGTAATTTGTAAAGGAAAGAGGTTTAATTGACTCACAGTTCCACATGGCTGGGGAGGCCTCAGGAAACTTACAATCAAGGCAGAAGGGGAAGCATGCACCTTCTTCACAAAGCAGCAGGAGAGAGAAAGAGTGTATATAGGAGGAAATGTCAAACACTTACAAAACCATCAGATCTCATGAGAACTCACTTACTATCATGAAAACAGCATGGGGAAAACTGCCCCCTTGATTCAATCACCCTCCACCAGGTCTCTCCCTCAACACTTGAGGATTACAATTCAAGATGAGATTTGGGTGGGAACGCAAAGCCTAACCATATCAAGGATAAGTATTGCAGGGCTGGTATGACACCTCAAAACTGTGATTAAAGACACAGACTTCTAGTGTCTTCCTGCTCTGCCTTCCACAACTTGTAGGTTTTGATTCTGTGGCTGAAAGGCTTTTTGCACGTCTAAGGTACAGAATCTATCCTCCAGGAAGGAAGAAGGGCACAGTACAAAAGGCAAAAGATCAAATGGAACATGGCTGGAAGACTCCCTTTGCAAAACTTCCCCAGAGGTCCTGCTGATGGACTTCTGCTCATACCTCATTGGCCAGAACTGGGTCACATGACCATGTCAAGTATAAGCAATCTGAGAAACTGAATCCATCCCTTTAACTTAGCACAATGGTGTGGTGCTCTAAGGTTCTCTTGGTAAGGAGGGAAGGGAATGATAATCAACAGTACCTGCCACAATACCTACAGCATTGAAAGCCTTCAATAAGCTGGTAACATACATGCATACATACATGAATCAAAACACAAATATTGCTAATTTTATTTGTATATTTCATTGAAAGGTGCTGTTTTCACCATCCATCCATTTATATAATATTTAAAATATCAGTAATAATTACATGTATTTTTAAAACTTATAAGCAAACATATAGTTACTTATTTCATATTTTTGTGTTGATAGCCTACACGAGGATTTTGTTTTAAAATATTAAATGAAATACTTCAATATAAGTATCAATCAAGTGAAAGGGAAAAATAATGGATGAGTTATTCTTAATTTCCATATCCTTTTATGAAGTTGTACAAAAGTGTGGAAAACAAGAGCATCAGCTGATTCAATTAAACCTAAATAATAATAATGGCCACTATTGATTGAGTCCTGTATGTGACAGAAACTTTAGATATTTTAATTAACTTACCCTCACAGCCCTTTAAAGAGTCAAGATTTTTCACTCCATATTCTAGATGAGGAACTTGCGGCAGAGAATGATTAAGTCAGTTGTCTAAAGTTATACAATTAAATAGCAGAGCTAGGATTTAAACTCAGGCTTTTTGGACACAGAGACCACACTTAACCACTATGCCACAATGATTAAATCCAAAATGTTATAGCGTTTATTTACCAACTCTTTGCATGCTTTGTGACAAATAAGTGTATATTAGTAGAGACTAAAATAAATAATTTTTAAAGTGTGTAAGGATCCAGCCTTCCATTTCCAGGGCATATTTGTTTTATCCGGGTTGTCAAAGTAGCATCTAAGATAGACAGAACATTGTCTGAAGAATAAAATGAAATTTAAACAGGATGAATATTATATTCCTGCATTTATGTTCAAATATCATGGCAGAAATATATGGAAAAAAGTCTGATACAATGCATTTATAAAATACTTCTAGTATTTGCCTAAAATAACATACATGCAAGTGCTTTCAATATTTCAGTTGCTATATAAGTGATATATATTTTTAATAAACTTCAATCACTGTAAATCTAACAGGCTCATGCTTACCATGTAGATGGGAAGAGAGAAAATGATGAGGTTGTTTTAGCAAGAAAAATAGAGACTCCATAAATTTGTTGAGAAACTACTTTGTTCCAGACACTTGCTGGGAATGCAAAGATCACAAGACGCAATCTCTGTCTTTAAAGTATGCAGAGATTAATGGGACAGAAACAATTAACAGATAATTTCAAAAGCCTAAGAACTGTGATCAAGATAATCACAGTCTTATGGGGTCACAGATAAGCCTGTACGCCAAACTGAGGGAAGTAGAGACAGTTTTATGACTGTCCAATGGTTTATTTCACATTTTGAACACTGGGTTAGAGTCAGGCAGAGGAGGGGGAGGTGGATGGGTGCTCCAGGGACAGACGGCATTAAGCAAGGCCTGTGGAGATGTCGTAGCAGTTCCAAGTTGATTGACAATAATGGAGGGGAATGGGGTGACGAGGGCACAGGAAGTAAAGGAAGAGCCTCGTCAAAGTGCTTAATGCTTTATACTGTTGGGGATAATAAACTACAAGAAGGTTTTAATCCAGAAAAGGTCATTGTTAAATTTTTGTTAAGTGTTTACCAGGCAAGTCACTTTGCTATTTGGAGCCTCAGTTTTCTTATGTATAAAACAAGAAAAATTATAATTCTTATTTTTAAACATTCTTATTCTTTTAAAAATAAGAATTAAAGAATTCTGCCATCTACAGCTTTGGGGTTTTGATTCTTGGCTGGGAGGCTTTTGCATGTCTACAAAATGTCTTATTTTTAAAAGAAAAAATTTTGGGGGAAAGGTTAGAATAGATCATTTTGGAGATCGTTTCTGGTTAGAAAATTTGGAAAAGGACTTAAATCAAGAAAAATTTTACCCTTCTATGATTCTTAAAGTTTAAAAATTAGACAGAGCTTTAAGTTGTTAGGTCCTTATTTAGGACCCGAATTCCATTGTCCCCATGCTGCTTAGCTTTAGCTATGTAAAGCAAGGGTAACTTTCAGGACAGGTAGGGGGGTGTGTGTGTGTGTGTGTGTGTGTGTGTGTGTGTGTGTTGGAGAGATGGGGGTGGGGAGGAGAAAGAAGAACTGGAGTTTGCTGTTGAAAGAGAAGCCATATATAGGAGTATTCCAAATAGAATTTCTAAGAAAAATACTCTTAATGATAAAATATCAGATAACCCAATGGATAGTGATAACATGACTGACAGGAAAAATGCCTGGAGTTGTTCTTGAAATATGTTTTTATACAGCCCCTTGGTTCTAGAATATTTTTCCTGTTCAAATAGCATCAACAAATAATCGATCATCTGCTTACTCTGTAGAATATACATGCAGATCAACATTCTCGCATTGTTTCTCTTTTCTTCTGCGGCTGCTTGACAAGCTAGAGTACAGTCGTTAAGTATTCATCTTCCAATACAGCTCTGTCCTTCAGGGCAAGTTTTCAACAAAGTCCTGAAAGTTATTAATGCCTCCACCAAGTCTTCTTTACCTTAACAAATGAACACTCAAAAACGCCAAAGAATAACTTTCTGACTTGTGCATGCGTGTACACACACACACACACAGACACACACACACATAGCCCTCTCTATGCATGCTATCAACCTGTCTTTCCCACTCCTTCCACCTGACCTTGCTTTAAATTATAATGCAGTGGTTTATAATATTGTTTAAAAATGCCTTGAGGTCTAAATTGATTGATATTCTTGAAAAACCAATCAAAAATTTTTCAGTCTCGCTCTGTCGCCAAGGCTGAAGTGCAGTGGCACGATCTGGGCTCACTGCAAGCTCCGCCTCCCGGGTTCATGCCATTCTCCTGCCTCAGCCTCCCAAGTAGCTGGGACTACAGGTGCCTTCTACCATGCCCGGCTAATTTTCTGTATGTTTAGTAGAGATGGGGTTTCACCAAGTTAGCCAGGATGGTCTCGATCTCCTGACCTCGTGATCCGCCCACCTCGGCCTCCCAAAGTGCTGGGATTACAGGCTTGAGCCACCGTGCCTGGCCTCAAAATTGTTTTAAATCAAGTATGAATTGTCTGAACCACTGCTCCAAACCTGTTAATTTTGTCCCTTTTGCTTAGTATCTCTTTTTATGAGATTTTTCTAGCGAGTTTATTGAAACTTAGTAGCAGCTATTGTTTATCATATCTTGGTCTATGTGATTCTACTGAAATGACTTACATAATTTGAAGGAAAATGCCAGTTTTACTGAAATTGGCAATAAAAACACCCATTTGTATTCTCCTTCTCTCTATAGAGTATATAACATGTATCTGATAGATTTAATAGAGACATAAGGCATATGTGCTCATATCATCGAAACATTATACATCTGCCCATTATCTATAGCGCATAATTTTATCTGCAGAACCAGATGTGCAAATCAGAGTGCTTGTGATAGAAGTACATGCTTAGAGATACATTTCTTATGAAGGCACTGTGATATTCAGAAATCACAATGGGAATATATAAAATGTTTAATCCTCGTGCAGATTGTTTTCTACTGTACTTAAGTTTCCATGCACACACAGTCTATCCATTTGCATCAGAACAATGGCTGTCTGGTTATGAACTCAATATACAAATTATCAGCCATTCCGGGTCTGCCTTTGATCTCCAGTCTTCCACTTCAGGCATTCAGTGTAGTAGGTGCCAAGTGATATCAATCATTCTATTTTTGCCGTGTCCCTGGTAAGAGATGGCATTTATTTCCTGATTCAGAAGATAAGCCAGACATGAGTGGAAAAAAAGTGTAAACAGGAAAAACCAAGCCTTGATGAGAAATCTTTGAACTAAACCCAGAACATGTTAAACATCTTTTATTAAGTGCAATTATAATAAAATTTTAATTATCTAAAATTAGAGAAGGCTGGGCGCAGTGGCTCATGCCTGTAATCCCAGCACACTGGGAGGCCCAGACAGGTGGATCACCAGAGGTCAGGCAAAATTACAGGAGGCCAGCACGGTGGCTCACACCTATAATCTCAGCACTCTGGGAGGCTCAGGCGGGAGGATCACCAGAGGTCAGGCAAAACCCCATCTCTACTAAAAAAAAACAAAAACAAAAAATAGCTGGGTATTGTGGCACGCGCCTATAATCCCAACAACTAGGGAGGCTGAAGCTGGAGAATCACTTGAACCCAGGAGGCGGAGGTTGCAGTGAGCCGAGATAGCACCACTGCACTCCAGCCTGGGTGACAGAGCCCGACTCCGTCTCAAATAAATAAATAAAATAAAATAAAATTAGAGGAGAAAGGATAATAAAAATTAATATGGAATTGCAAAGAAATTTAAATTTTACTCTAAAGCCAAGTGTGTTATTTTATGTAGGCACCTAATTTAATTGGGAGATTGCTCATATTAAGACCTTCTACGTCACAATGACATTAGATCTATTCCGCAGCTCTCTTAAGGCTTTAAGGCTGAAAATTGGTTTGCATTAAGAAATTAAATATTGTTCTTTTTCATTTTCGTACATAATTGAAATCTGCAAATAACTTTAGTGGATTTTTTTTGTTTTAAATAAACCAATATTTTCAAAAGATATCAAGCCCAGCAACTTCTCCCACTGTCTGTTATAAACTGAAAATTACTCATAAGCAATCTGGGTTAGACTAAACAAAAAGTTCAAATGGTGTGTATGGGAATGTATGTGAAGGTGCCGTTGAAGTTTTGGCACTAGAAATCCACCCCTGACCTATAGAAACAATATCTGAATACCTTATTTACTGACAAATCTCTCTAAGTCTTGGGTGACCATCAAGTGGCATCTGAACATGAACCATCAGCTCTTCCCAAGCAGAGTGCACAGGAAACAACCTTCCTACACAGGAATAAAGCTAAAGTAGCACCAGAGGAGCATGGTAAAAGACATTTCCGCAATCCCAACAAAAGCCACAAATTTCAAGGAGCTAAAAATTACCACAAAATGGAATGTAAATGAGAAGTTGCTTTTTAAAATTGGATCACTGGAGACAGACAGAACTTCTTGATAAGCAAGTCACAAGTGCAGCCATATGCAAAGCAGGGTAAGTAGACCATCTCTTAATGGATGGTTTGGCATGCTCTCAAGAAGAAAAGGAACTCTTAGTGGCCATATTTCAGGACTATTTACCACCAAGGGTAAGCAGGGCAGCCTTACAGAGAACTATTTCACTTGAATGGGTTTTAAGCAAGGACTACAAGCACACAGGTGATCAAGCGGTACAATCAGATTTTCTTAAAGAGAATTTAACAAAATCAGTGTACAAAAATCACAAGCATTCTTACACACCAACAACAGACAAACAGAGAGCCAAATCATGAGTGAACTCCCATTCACAATTGCTTCAAAGAGAATAAAATACCTAGGAATCCAACTTACAAGGGATGTGAAGGACCTCTTCAAGGAGAACTACAAACCACTGCTCAAGGAAATAAAAGAGGATACAAACAAATGAAAGAACCTTCCATGCTCATGGGTAGGAAGAATCAATATCGTGAAAATGGCCATACTGCCCAAGGTAATTTACAGATTCAATGCCATCCCCATCAAGCTACCAATAACTTTCTCACAGAATTGGAAAAAACTACTTTAAAGTTCATATGGAACCAAAAAAGAGCCCGCATCACCAAGTCAATCCTAAGCCAAAAGAACAAAGCTGGAGGCATCACACTACCTGACTTCAAACTATACTACAAGCCTACAGTAACCAAAACAGCATGGTACTGGTACCAAAACAGAGATATAGATCAATGGAACAGAACAGAGCCCTCAGAAATAACACCGCCTATCTACAACTATCTGATCTTTGACAAACCTGAGAAAAACAAGCAATGGGGAAAGGATTCCCTATTTAATAAATGGTGCTGGGAAAACTGGCTAGCCATATGTAGAAAGCTGAAACTGGATCCCTTCCTTACACCTTATACAAAAATCAATTCAAGATGGATTAAAGACTTAAACATTAGACCTAAAACCATAAAAACCCTAGAAGAAAACCTAGGCATTACCATTCAGGACATAGGCATGGGCAAGGACTTCATGTCTAAAACACCAAAAGCAATGGCAACAAAAGCCAAAATTGACAAATGGGATCTAATTAAACTAAAGAGCTTCTGCACAGCAAAAGAACTACCATCAGAGTGAACAGGCAACCTACAAAATGGGAGAAAATTTTCGCAACCTACTCATCTGACAAAGGGCTAATATCCAGAATCTACAATGAACTCAAACAAATTTACAAGAAAAAAACAAACAACCCCATCAAAAAGTGGGCAAAGGACATAAACAGACACTTCTCAAAAGGAGACATTTATGCAGCCAAAAAACACATGAAAAAATGCTCACCATCACTGGCCATCAGAGAAATGCAAATCAAAACCACAATGAGATACCATTACACACCAGTTAGAATGGCAATCATTAAAAAGTCAGGAAACAACAGGTGCTGGAGAGGATGTGGAGAAATAGGAACACTTTTACACTGCTGGTGGGACTGTAAACTAGTTCAACCATTGTGGAAGTCAGTGTGGCAATTCCTCAGGTATCTGGAACTAGAAATACCATTTGACCCAGCCATCCCACTACTGGGTATATACCCAAAGGACTATAAATCATGCTGCTATAAAGACACATGCACACGTATGTTTATTGTGGCATTATTCACAATAGCAAAGACTTGGAACCAACCGAAATGTCCAACAATGATAGACTGGATTAAGAAAATGTGGCACATATACACCATGCAATACTATGCAGCCATAAAAAATGATGAGTTCACGTCCTTTGTAGGGACATGGATGAAGCTGGAAATCATCATTCTCAGTAAACTATCGCAAGAACAAAAAACCAAACACCGCATATTCTCACTCACAGCTGGGAACTGAACAATGAGAACACATGGACACAGGAAGGGGAACATCACACTCTGGGGACTGTTGTGGGGTGTGGGGAGTGGGGAGGGATAGCACTGGGGATATACGTAATGCTAGATGACGAGTTAGTGGGTGCAGTGCACCAGCACATCACATGTATACATATGTAACTAACCTGCACATTGTGCACATGTACCCTAAAACTTAAAGTATAATAATAATAAATAAATAAATAAATAAATAAGAAAAAAAGAGAATTTAACTGTACAACTTGCTTCAGACTAGTTCAAGGAGATAAGTTGGGAAAAGTTTTGCTATCTCAATTATGACTCACCTAAAAAAAAAAGGCAACAATATACCCTGTCACTAAGCATTTTGAACCTCGTGTTCAAAACCTAGAAAATGCATTCACCACATGCTTCTCTAGCTGCAGTCAGCTTCCGCCTGCCTTCTCTTCCACATTTCCATTTGCTCTTCAAACTGCAATAACTTATTTCAGCCTCCCTGCTCAATTTTCTATAGGAAATGTGCCTGCACTCAGTAACCTTTCTGACTTTCTCACAATCGAAAATAGAGACAAGATAATTAGGTAAACAAAGAAAAATGTTCCTCACATTTGCATTTCCTCCAGATAGTGTCAGTTTGCTATTTCTGTTAACAGCAAACTCCTCAAAAAAAGTAATCAGTACTTGATATCTCTACTTCATCTTCTATTTACACTTCAGTTAACTGTGAGCAAACATCCACCATGAATTCCTGTCCAAGTTTGCCTTCTTTGAGGTCATCAATAATCTCCTGATTGTAAAATCCAGTTTCATTTAAGTGCTTAATCTTACATGATCTTTCTTGTGGATTGCACACTGCTGGCATTTTCTTCCTTCAAACTCTATAGTCTTTGGCTTCCACCATTGCATAACTTCCTGAATCCCTTTCTGCCTCTTTGCTTGCTCCTTCTTAGTTTTATTCACCCATACTTTAGCTTTTGAACACTCCTTATATACTGGTGGTTCCACATTATTATCTTTCATGCTCTTCTCACTTTCTTCAATAAACTGAATTATTATTATTATTATGTGTACTAGACACCCTATATCCGCTAGGATATAAACATGTCATATATCCTAAAACTAAATACAGTTCTGCATCGCTTAATTATAGGGATACATTCTGAGAGATGTGTCATTAAGTGATTTTGCCATTGTGTGAACATCATGGAGTATACTTATGCAAAACTAGATGGTACAGCCTACTATACACCTAGGCTGTATGGCATAGCCGATTGCTCCTAGACTACAAACCTATACAGCACATTACTGTACTAAATACCATAGGCAACTATAACACAATGGTATTTGTATATGTAAATGTACCTAAACATAAAAGTGGTACAGTAAAAATATGGCATAAAAAATAAAAAATGATATATGTCTATAGGACACTTACCATGAATGGAATTTGCAGATGAAAATTGCTCTGGGTGAGCCTCTGGGTGAGTGGTGAGTGAATGTGAAGGCTTAGAATATTACTATACACTACTGTAGGTTTTATAAGCACTGTACACTTAGGCTGCAATAAATTTATAATTTTTTTCAATAAAAAATGAACATTAACTTACTGTAACTTTTTTACTTTATAAACTTTTAAAGTTTTTTTTAACTTTTTATAGGTTAAAACACAAACACATTTACAGCTATACAAAAATTTTTTTGTTTATGTCCTTACTCTACAAGCTTTTTTACTATTTTTAAAATTTCAGTTATTTTTAAATTTTAAAACTCTTTTGTTAAACACAAAGACCCAAACATTCACATTGGCCTGGGCCTACACAGCGTCAGGATCATCAATATCACTGTCTTCCACTTCCACATCCTGTCCCACTCAGAGGTCTTCAGGGACAATAGCATACACGGAGCTGTCATGTCCTATGCTAACAATACCTTCTTCTGGAATACTTCCTCAAAGATCTGCCTGAGGTTGTTTTACAGTTAATTTTTTAAAATATAAGTAGAAAGTATTCACTTTAAAACAACATTAAAAACAATAGTATAGCAAATACATAAGCCAGTAACATAGTCATTTATTATCATTATCAAGTGTTATGTATTGTACATAATTGTGCTATGCTTTTATATGATGAGACTGGCAGCACAGTAAGTTTGTTTACATCAACATCATCACAAATGCATGAGTGATGCATCGCACTATGATATTATGATGGCTATGACATTGCTAGGTGATAAAAATTTTTCACCTACATTATAATCCTCTGGGGCCACCATCATATATTCTATCCCCATTATTGACTAAAATGTCACTATCTCATAATTATATAGGCAATCTTTTCCTTCTCTGTTAATTTCTCATCTTATTTAATGACAAGGCTTCCCACACCAGATGCTAATACCAATATTTTTAATTTATCCTTTTCCCCATCATATTGTGTCAAGTCTAAGTGCTAATAATTCTAACTCTCTTCTCATCTTCACTAACTCTTCCTTAGGGCTTAGGTACCTATAATACCTCATCTGAACTACTATTGAATAAGCTATTAATTGTCTTAAAATTATAACAGCAAATCCAATCATGACATATCTCTGTGTTTAAACGTTTTCAATCAGCTTGCCATTGCTAAAGTCTTAAACCTGTGCCTTTTTGTAGTCAACAAGCTTGTCTATGACTTGAATCCTGACAGCCGGTCTCTCTTAAAGTCCTCTCCTTACTCATGCCTGAGGTTACAGTCATGCAAAATGATTCCTTGGCTAATCACATTCAGTGTGTTTAATTGCACTGCTCCCCTTGGATACATCAGTTCCAATTGGTTAATGGGTTCCAAGTCTTGTATCAAATATCCTTCTCCCTATGAAGCTTTTCCTGACTCCCCATCATCCTTCCTTAAGGGTCCTGTGGCACATTGAACACAAAAGTAATGACTTCAAGACTGTAAGCATTTTGACAGTGTGCACTGAGTTCATCATGCTTTCCCCAGCTCTTACTGCAATGCTAAATAGAAGACATTAAGGCCAAATAAATATTATTGAATGAATAAACAAGTTTCAGATGTTCCTAGAGAACAAAGGGGAAACAACTAGTCATGAGAAATTATGTTAATTCTATTAAGTGATCTAATATTTAAAATTCCTAAAATAATTCACTTAATGCTTGATAAACACTATGTGCCGAGTCTTATGAAATGTGGAGATACAGTGAACAGAGTCCTTGCCCTCATTGAGAGAGCCACTCTCTTACATGGGGATTTAAATGCAAGCTCACCACATACTAGCTGGGTACTCTTGAGGGGGGTGTTTAACTTTTCTATTTCTTACTCTTTTCACCCATAAAATGGTGACAATATAAAACCTACTTGAGAGAACTGTTGTAAACATTAAATTAAGAAATATCTCTAAAATGATTTTTTAGTATCTAACAGATAAGTGTTCAAGAAATATAATAGGCCAGGCACGGTGGCTCATGCCTGTAATCCCAGCGCTTTGGGAGGCTGAGGCAGGCAGATCACGAGGTCAGGAGTTTGAGACCAGCCTGGACAACATGGTGAAATCCCACCTCTACTAAAATTACAAAAAAATTAGTTGGGCGTGGTGGTGTGCACCTGTAATCCCAGCTACTTGGGAGGCTGAGGCAAGAGAATTGCTTGAACCCAGGAGGTGGAGGTTGCAGTGAGCCAAGATCATGCCATTGCACTCCGGCCTGGGCAACAGAGCAAGACTCTGTCTCAAGAAAAAAAAAAAAAAAAAAAAAAAAAAAATATATATATATATATATATATATACACACACACACACACATATACACACACACATATATTATTACAATGTTAAGCATAAAGTATTAAAATATAGTAAGTATCAGATATAGTAAGTATAGTATAGTATAGTATAATGTTAAATAAAGGGATTTTATTTAACTATCAATAGAAAAAAATGATTTTGGTGGGAATCACATATACTAGTTTGAAAACAAAGACAAGTAGACGTGGGATTTGTTCATGTCTGGGGCAATGAGAAGAAAGAGCTCAGCTCATCAGTTATCCTGAGCTGAGAAAAATCAGGGTGATATCTATTGCTCTTTTGTTCCAATTTGTTATTCCCTCTAATGGATGAAATGGAGCATGGTGATAGCTTTAGGGGCCAAAGAGCACAAGCAAATATATATTTTACCAACCGGACACCAGAATCAATCAGAAAAACCAGAAGATTGACTTGAAAAGTTAGAAAAATTCTAGAGCAGAGAGTGATCCTTAGTCAGCTATACAAGGACATGCCCCACTGTCAGTCAGATAATACATTTTTTCCAAGTTTTATTTTCTCACTTCTAGTTACAGCCTAGCATTACTGATTAATATTTAACAGCTGTCCTAGTTCATATCATTTGTTTATTGCTGAAACTGATATTGGTGATTACAATGGGTGGTATGTGCTATTATAAAGCCAGTTTGTTCCAGATACACTTTATTGTTTTTAGTGTGTTTATTGGCCAATTGCTTTATGGCCATTTTTAGTATTCTTTACAACAACCATCTGTAGCTAAAAATGAGTGTGAAGTTTTTCATTCCAAATATACCCTTGTGACTATTAAGTAAAGAATACAAGATTTTGTTCTATGCTGGCTATTGAGTCAATCATACCTAAAGTAAAACTCTATAGTAAAAAATTTACAACTTTAACATTTAAGTAAAAACATCCTATTAATCTTTTGGCTTTTATTTTCTTATATAAACATTTCTTGGCGATAGTCAATGCTTCCCAAAAAATTACTTCCAGTTCCTGGCTTTATCTTTACATAAATTTTTTTATGTAGCTTAATGGACTCAAAACATATACAAGTAATAGATAAGGTGTTTAAAAAATTGATACCTATGCTAAGTTTATAGAAACTTGGATATTGCAAAGGTATGTGGTGTTCTAGCCAATATTTACTTTCTAAACAAAAGAGTATTATGCAAAGAGTAAGATAAATATTATAATGTAGTTAGTGTCTAGAAAATTTGAGAGCATGAGAAGTTAAGATCACTGGGGCCAAGTAAAATTGGATAGTTAAAAAGTTATAAATATGCTATTATAGACCTATAAAATATTGGCATGTAAAACTGTAACTATTTCAAATTGAGGTCATGCTATCACCCTTCACTTTTTCTATAATAAAACAGACCTGTTTTCATAATTACTCAAGGCGTGCACTGGGAAGAACCAGAAAATACTGTGAAATCATTCTTAATCAATAGACTCATAGGCATTATTAAACTCATAACCAAAAGCTATACTTAGTGGCAGTTCCAAATAGTGAATCATTGTGTAGGATTTCTAATCAGACAGCCTGGGTTTTAATCCTGTCTGTGCTATTTCTAGCTAAAAAAACACTGGAAATATTATTTAACTTTTTAAGCCACAGTTTTCTAATCTCTAAAGTAAAACATGAATGCTTTAGAAGATGCTGTGATAATGTAAAATGCACATGTGTATGACACAGAGTCAGCACCTACGGAAGTTAATGACTCACTTTATTAATATTTTAAATTTTAATACTTCTTAAAACATAAAATGCATTTTACATATTTTATATTATTTCTATTTAAATATTTAAAGACACGCATTATGTTTTTATGTTTAAAATGGTTTTTTTTGTTGTTTTTGTTTTGTTTTTTGTTTTTTTGAGACTGAGTCTTGCTCTGTCGCCCAGGCTGGAGTGCAATGGCGCGATCTCGGCTCACTGGAACCTCCACCTCCCAGGTTCAAGCTATTCTCTTGCCTCAACCTCAGTAGCTACTGTTGCCCCAGTAGCGGGGCCTATAGGTGTGCACCACCATGTCTGACTTCTTTTTTTTTTTTTTTTTTAGTAGAGACAGGGTTTCACCATGTTGGCCAGGCTGGTCTCGAACTCCTGAACTCAGGTGATCCACTTGCTTTGGCCTCCCAAAGTGCTGGGATTACAGGCATGAGTCACCGCACCCAGCCTAAAATGTTTATTTTTGTAGGCAGCACATATTTGTGTCCCGCTTTTTATTCAGTCTGACAATCTGTCTTTAAACTGGTACATGTAGACCATTTACATTTAAAGTGATTATCGATATGGTTGGATTAAAATTTAACATCTTGCTAGCTGTTTCTCTTTGTTACATTTTTCTTTGTTTCTTTATTCTTCCCTATTGGCTTTTTCTTGGGTTAACTGGGCATTTTCATGATTTCATTTTCTCTCCTTTATTGACTTACTAGTTAAACCTCTTTTTAAAAACTTTTAAATGATTATCCTGGGGCTTACAGTATACATGTTAAATTAAACTGAGTTGACATTTTAATAACATTATACTGCTTCGCATGTGGCGTAAACGTATTTACAACAGAATAGTCCCATTTCCCTCACCCATCCTTTGTGCTATTGTTGTCATTTATTTCACTTTTATATATCGGTTATCTTTTAGAGCAATCTCAAGCAAGAAATAAATTAATTTTTTTCTGTCATTTGTTCCAGTACCTGTTCTCTTCATTTCTTTGTGCAGATTCAAGTTTCTGACTGATATCATAGTTCCTCTGCCTGAAGAATTTTTTTAGCAGTTCTTACAGAATATGTCTAGCAATTAATTGCTTCAATTTTTGTTTGATATGATTTTTGGTTTTCCTTTCACTTCTTTTTACTAAATATAGAATTCTGGGTTGACACCCCCTGATGCACACACACTTTCAGATCCCCAGCACTTTCAATATGTCAGTACATTTTCTTTCGTTCTGGATAGTTTCTGATAGAAATATATTTTAATTTTTAGCCTTGTTCCTCTGTAGATAGTACATATATTTTTCTCCTAACTTCACCGTTTTCTCACTTTTGTTTTCAAAAGTTTAAATACCATATACCTAGATATGTGCGTGTGTGTGTGTGTGTATGTGTGTGCATGTGTGGTATTTATCCTACTTGGCATTCTGTGAGCTTCTTAAATCTGTGGTTTTATGTCTGTTAATATTGTAAAATTTTATGCCATTTTTTTTCAAATATTGCTTCTGCCCCATTTTCTCCTTCTTCTCTTTTTGAGATTTCAATTACACATATGTTACTCAGTTTAGAATTGTCCCACACTATTGGATGCTGTGTTCTTTATTCACTCTTTTCTCTATATTCCAGTTTGAATAATTTTCACTGGCCTATCATGCAGTTCACTGATTCTTTCCTCAGCTGTGTGGGCTCTACTGATGAGCCTGGCTTTATAGCTGTTACTATTTGTGTCTTCCAGCTTCTCCTTTTGATTCCTTCTTAGATTTTACACTCTCTGCTGAATTAATCTGATCTTACATGTTGTCTACTTTGTTCCATTAAAGCTAATAGCCTATTAATCATAGTTATTTTAAATTCTCTGTCTGATAGTCCCAATATCCGTGGTGTCATATGCAGCCTGCTCCCAAGGATTACCTTGCGTCTTCAGTGTGTGGGGGGGTATGTGTGTGTATTTGTCTTTTTACATGCCTTGCAATTTTTAGTTGACAATTAGACATCTTGTGTAGGGCTACAGATACAGAGATAAATCTCTTCTTAACGTTGGAGATGAGCATGCCTTTTCTTCAGCTGGACCTTAACTGTGGGCTCATATTCATCTATTCAGGAGTTGGGCTAAGTTTGGGGGTTTGTTGATGTTATATTACCCCAAGTGCCCCTCAGGCTTAAAATTCCTCTTGTGATACTGTGTATTTAACAGAGATTATTTCCTCAATGTCTGTTATTTCATTGGCTTTTAATCTGTCTTTGTACTGCCCCCCAATAATGATCTATCTCTTGCAGCTCTTCCGGTTGAATTTCATGGCTATTTTTACTGAGTGTGTTAGGGTGGCAGTGGGGGAAGAAAGGGTTCCCTAACGCTCTGATTAAGCCTTAGTCTCAAGCTGGGCTTTGTCCTGATATCTGGAGCTACGACCTCCACGAGTGCTCTTCCTCTCTTTAACCACCAGTTCGCCATACTCACTTTTTTCTATCATACTGAGAGGTGACAGCATACTGGCAGCCCTCGCAGCCCACGCTCGCTCTCGGTGCCTCAGCCTCGGCGCCCATTCTGGCGGCGCCTGAGGAGCCCTTCAGCCCGCCGCTGCACTGTGGGAGCCCTTTTCTGGGCTGGTCAAGGCTGGAGCCGGCTCCCTCAGCTTGCGGGGAGGTGTGGAGGGAGAGGCGCTGTCGGGAACCGTGGCTGCACGCGGCGCTTGCGGGCCAGCGCGAGTTCCGGGTGGGCGTGGGCTCGGCAGGCCCCGCACTCTGAGCGGCCGGCCGGCCCGGAAGCCCCGGGCAGTGAGGGGCTTAGCACCTGGGCTGCCTCCCCACGGGGCAGGGCTTGGGACCTGCAGCCCGCCGTGCCTGAGCCTCCCCCGCCCCACCTCCGCCATGGGCTCCTGCCTGGCCGAGCCTCCCCGACGAGAGCACTGCTCCCAGCTCCACAGCGCCCAGTCCCATCGACCGCCAAAGGCTGAAGAGTGCGGGCGCACTGCGCGGGACTGGCAGGCAGCTCCACCTGCGGCCCCAGTTCGGGATCCACTGGGAGAAGCCAGATAGGCTCCTAAGTCTGGTGGGGACTTGGAGAATCTTTATGTATAGCTAAGGGATTGTAAATACACCAATCAGCACTCTGTCTCTAGCTCAGGGGTTGTAAATACACCAATGGACACTCTGTATCTAGCTAATCTAGCGGGGAGGTGGAGAACTTTTGTGTCTAGCTCAGGGATTGTAAATGCACCAATCAGCACCCTGTCAAAATGGACCAATCAGCTCTCTGTGAAACAGACCAATCGGCTCTCTGTAAAATGGACCAATCAGCAGGATGTGGGTGGGGCCAGATAAGAGAATAAAAGCTGGCTGCCTGAGCCAGCAGTGGCAACCTACTGGGTTTTCCTTCCACGTTGTGGAACTTTTGTTGTTTTGCTTTTTGTAATAAATATTACTGTTGCTCACTCGTTGGGTCCACACTGCCTTTATGAGCTGTAACACTCACTGTGAAGTTTGTAGCTTCACTTCTGAAGCCAGTGAGACCACGAACCCACCAGAAGGAAAAAACTCTGAACACATCTGAACATCAGAAGGAAGGCTGTCCAGACAGACTGCCTTTAAGAACTGTAATGCTCACTGCGAGGGTCCGTGGCTTTGTTCTTGAAGTCAGTGAGACCAAGAACCCACCAATTCTGGACACAATACTGGTTGCAGCTTCTTAGTGTTTCCTGCTGGTTTTTTCCTTTGTTTAGATCTGTAAATATTAGGGCTTCCCACACTCTGAACTTGAAACTCTTTTCTTCTGTTCCTTAATGATTCCCACATCAATTTTCCAATCCAGACCTTCTCTCTGAACTCTCTAGACTTATAGATCATCTGTCTTTGTGCATCTCTCCTTTTATGTGTAACTGATATCTCAAACACTAAACCACAAAAGGAACCCTGGTTTAGCCCTCCTAAAAATCTACTCCCCATCTGTCTTCTCCAGCTCTTTCAAAGGCAACTCTCATTTCATTGCTTATACCCCAAACCCTTTGAGACATCCTTGATTCTTCTCATACTCTATATTCAATTAATCAATAAATTTATTTGCCTCTACCTTCAAAATATATCTAAAACTCAAGCTACCTTTATGTCTTTTGAAATTTGTAATACCTCTTGTGGCAATGAGTAGCGCTTGACACTCAATAGATTCTTCTTTATCAGTAATAGAATCTGACTTTTAGCTGACACATGGCCTCCTATATAAAAACTGTACTTTCCAGGTATGATGGTTAGTATTAGGTGTCAACTTGACTGGATTGAGGGATGGCTCAGTGGCAGCGAAGCATTAATTCTGAGTGTATCTGTGAAGGTGTTGCCAGAGGAGATTGACAGGATAGTCGGTGGACTGAGAGAGGAAGACCTGCCCTCAATGTGGGTGGGTACCATCTAATGGGCTGCAGGAATACTTACAACAAAGGAGGTGGAAGAAGGAAGACATTCAGCTTGCTTGCTTTTCTTTTTTTCTTTTTCTTGCTTCCTTTTTTTTCTCTCTTTCTCTCTCTTTTCCAGAGCAGTACCCCTTTTCTTCTCCTGCCCTAGGACATCAAATTCCAGGTTCTTTAGCCTTTGTACTCTGGGACTTGCACCAGTGGCCTTCTGGGAACTCTCAGGCCTTTGGCCTCAGAGTGAGGGTTGTACTGTTTGCTTTCCTGGTTTGGAAACTTTTAGACTTGGAGTGAGTAATGCTACCAAAGGCTTCCCTGGCTGCCAAGCTAGCCATGCTACTGGCTTCTCTCATTCTCCAGCTTGCAGACAGCCTCTCATGGGACTTCACTTTTGTGATTGTGTGAGCCAATTCAATTCTCCCTAATAAACTCCCTTTCTCATATATATATATAACCAATAGATATTTGTTCTGTCCCTCTGGAGAACCCTGATTAACACACTAGGCTTTCTTGTATCTAAGTGAGGCCAAATAACTAATTTCTGACCAATGGGAAGTAATCACAAATGTTATGCAAGCTTTGAAGGGGAGGAATATAGATAAAATGGCTGGAACAAAAATATCTCCATATGGGGAAGGGCAGGAGAACCTTATAAAAACACTCAAAACCTTATTCAAATCTTTGTGATTTGAATACTAATGACTCATACATTTAATGTTATTTACATCAGATGGTGCAATTAAAATTTATTTAGGACCAAATTTGAGCATGCAACAAAGGTGGACATTCCTTACTCTGTCAAGAAGGGAAAAAGGAAAGAGAGCAAGTAGCATTTATCAAATACCAGGAGCTCTGCTGTGGCTTTTTTCATGTTATGAAGCTTGGTTCTTACAACATCTCTTCTTGGCAGGATTATTATCCATGTTTTATGCAGAGATATGATCAAGGCTTTGGAGGTTCACTTAAAATGGTGTTGAAATGGCAGGGCTCGTTTGACCTCAGTGAATGAGTGTGAATTTGTTGATTTAAATAATAGATTGGTTTAGTGTAGAATATATTGAATTATCCCTAATGTCCCACATGGTTTTGTTTAGCAGAAATGCAGTTTCCACCCCTCAAAATCTCATGACTTTTTAGTGATGAAATCATATGTGTGGATTCAGTACAGGGTCTGAGACCTAAATAATTTTCTTAGTTCCTTTTGGCTACTATAACAAAATACCATAAACTTTAGGGCTTGTAAGCAACAGAAATGTATTTCTCACTGTTCTGGAAACTGGGAAGTTCAAGATCAAGGTGCCAGCAGATTTGATATTTGGGGAGGGCCCACTTCTGACTGTAATCTCACATAGCAGAAAAGGGGCAAGGTAGCTCTCTGGGGCCTCTGTTATAAGACCACTAATCCCATTCATGAGGGCTTATGATATAATCACCATCTACAGGCCCCATCTTAGACTATCTCATTGGTGTTTAGATTTTCAGCATATGAATTTGAAGGGCATTCAGACCGTAGCAAAGATGTTTAAGAGAAGCTAATTTTCTGCCCCCCTACACCTTCCCCTTCTAAGGAAGATTATGTAAGAGCTTTGTTATAGATTTTTAAGAAAATATTTGAATATTTGAAATGTTTGAATGTTTGAAATATATGAAATAAATAAGCACAAATAAAGCATGCCCTAGAAATGTTTCCCTCATTACTCAGTGTTTGCAGTAAGTATTTGATCTAAGTGTGTTTCAGTTTACTGATTTGCACTGTAAGCCTGAGGGACAAATAATAAAGGTTTGTAAAATAATACCAAGAAAAATGGAAACCACAGCTTTCAGATAAGAATGCTTGGTATGACTCATCTCCTGGTGGAATCACCAGAGCAGGCCCATTGTACATTTCTGCCTGGAGAGTACACCTCCACGATAGCCCAGACCTTTCCCCATCCGTACCCTCAAATTATTGGTAAATATAGTGGGCATTTGTCAGCTGAACAGCATTTGTAGGTAGCTTTGGTGAAGCAGCAGTTTCCTCCTTGCATATGGCTTTAATTTGCATACTGTTATATATGGCCTTCCAAGTTCCAAGGGGTAAATTCAACTATGTCTCTTTCATAGTAAAATTTTTCTTAGATTTAAATTTCATCAACCTGCTCAAACCTGTAAAGAGAAGCAACAGAACTAAGTCCTCAGTTTCTTTTTTTTTCCTTTTTTTTTTTTTTTTTTGAGACGGAGTCTTGCTCTTTCACCCAGGCTAGAGTGCAGTGGTGCGGTCTCGGCTCACTGCAAGCTCCGTCTCCCAGCTTCACACCACTCTCCTGCCTCAGCCTCCTGAGTACCTGGGACTACAGGCGCTCGCCACCATGCCTAGTTAATTTTTTATATTTTTAGTAGAGACGGGGTTTCACCACATTAGCCAGAATGGTCTCGATCTCCTGACCTTGTGATCCGCCCGCCTCGGCCTCTGTTTCTAGTTTCTATTTCCTATGTGGAATTTTTAAAAGAACTACATTTTAATGATAAAGAGGCAAATTCCATTTGGCAGCACTTAGGATACAGGGACCATACTTGGGAAATATTCATTAACATTCAGTAATTTAAGAATCCTTAAGGCCTAATTATCAAAGTGAGTTCAATTACCACAGGCACCCATTCATTTAATTGGCTGGAAACACACAAAGAAATTAAATGATACCAATGCCAATTTGGCCCCAAAGTCTCATTCCGTATTTATTTATCATTTTTATAAGAAGGGTGTTCATGGTGATTGCTGCTAGTTCCTCTGCTGAAACAAGCCCACAAAACCGCAAGAGCAGCTCAGCATTCTTTGACCTACTCGGGAACCCAATTAAAATTAACAGGCCTTGCATCTTCATATATCACATGTTACAGATTGTAAATACTCATCCCATTTAAGAGCAACAGAATAACTGGGTTCATAACAAATCTCCATAAGTCTAACTGATATTTACCAGTTAGGGAAATGTGACAGGTAATGGAGAAGAGACTGAGAATAAAGGAGCCTCTGCAGTATGATCATCATTTCACCCTGTCTAGAAATACTGCTGTGTCATTTCTTTGCTCCTTCAGAAAGCCCGGGAGTTCCTGCGCCAATTGTCACCGATGTTGCTTCCACTGGCTGGAGGTGCTGACTACTTTGGCTTTTTCCCTTGGGAGGTCAGACAGAGGTCATGTGGGAAGCATGCTTTGTTTACCCAGAGAGGACCTCCTGTTCTGCCCCTTGGCATGTTTACTTTCCTGGTTGCCTACTTGGAAAGCCCTATGACTGCTGGCAGGGAGAGCTCTGGTCACTTTCACTACCTTCTCAGATTTTCAGCTCTTGGGGCTTCAGTAGGACCTGCCTTTCAGTAACTTTCAGAGGCATGGGGAGCCCTTCCCTGAAAGAGAGGAGAAGGTGACATCTTAGAAACTGTGATAAAATGATCTCAGGACCCAAAAAGAAAATGGACAAGCCTGGCAATGAGAGTTTGCAATGTGATGCAATCACGGGCAATACCAGGGTGGAAATTGGATGGGCAGCTTTCTTCTCTCTAGAAGATTTTCTTTCCAAGTCCATTCTTTCTTTTCATATTTTCATGTAAGTGTGCCTTCTTTTTTGTATCTCTTCTTTATGCTAAATTTACTACCCAATTTTATTAATGTATGTTACAGCTCCTAGCAGATGTTGAAGAAATATGAATTGGTTATGATTTACAGCCTAGAGAACTGATTAAAAAAAACACACTTTATTTTTTTATAAAGTGCTTTTCTGAGTTTTAACAAAAAGGCACAGGTTGTTGAAAGGGTATCAGACACTTAAATTGACAGAATTCTGAGGATCATCTCCTTCCTGCTGCTTAATATGAGTACAGTGTCACAATTTCAATTTCCGAGACTCAACATTTACCAGGGCCATTGCCGGCATCATTGTGGATGCTGGTGTTCATTCTGTCTTCCAATTGGCAAGCCTTTTGACTTATTTAGCATTGAAAAGTCAATGGCGAGACTTACATTCTTTCTACCCCACTTTCAAAAACTTGGCAGTGTCTTATTTTCAAAGTGGTCTGATGGAATGAGAATGGGGCTCTTGAAACTGCTTGATTTTCCCGCATGAATTTTGTTTAAACCTTCACCACAAATTAGTTAACATGCAGTACGTTGCCAAAGGATGCAGCCAAGTCTTTCCCTTTATTGTTCCGGAAAGTAAGACAACACAATTCCATCCCCAGTCCACCTCTCTTTTTAACCAGTGACCCACTACAGTAATTTATTTTGGGTTATAGGTCCCATGAGTTTACACATACATTTTATTTTGAAGTAAGAACTACTTCAGCTAGTGCTTTAGCAGAAATTTTTAAAAGTAAAGTCAAAATTTATATAACAATCTTGGGTTAAGTCTCGTGTAATCAAGTCCTAACTCCCTTGAATAAAAGATAATAAAACAAACAAATACAAGAAAAAACAAGAAAAAAATGATTATCAAGAAGCTCATGGCTAAATTAAACCCACTAAAGCTGTAACTGAAAGGGTTTATTTGTGTAAGAAAGCCAATTGCCGTCTTAATGCAAGCCTTTTACATCCTTAGATCTGGGCACCCAATTTATTCTTATTGATCTTCATCTCCAACCTTAAAAGCATCTCTTAAAAGGCTGTTCGTACAGCCTAGAGAATAACATCTATAAAAGGACCTTTGAACACCAGTATTGGGTCAAGCTAACTGATGTCTCTGACTGATCGACTTACTTTGAGTACCACACGCAACTATGTTTTCTGGAATCCAGAGTAGCAGAGTAGGCAGGTATATTGTGAAGAGAGAAACTCAGAGGGAGAAGGAGCAAGGGAAGGTAGACTAGTAAGCAAATTCTTTAATTACAACTTCCTACTTCAATTCAGCAAGATGATTATTGGTTCACCTAAGAGTCAATAGTGCTCCAAGACTACAGACAATAATGAACATCAACAAAGACATAGCATGAGTATGTTTAAGTTTTAAAGTTTATATATATAAATCCCACCACAGAGCAAAGTTCAGGAAATATAGTTATGTGAAACATCAAAACATAAAGCAATCTTTGGAATATAATTTTACAAAAGAAGTAAATACATTTAAAAATTGGTTTTTTTGCTGAATGTTTGCTGCTATTTCAGGCCGTCAGTCTAAATTTATGTGGAACCATCAAAAAACCATATATATAAAAGTATATAGATTTTGTGTGGGATTTACTGGAAATTATCATATGTGTATGTATATGTAGTAATAGTAGTGAGTATTTGCTGAATGTTTACCATGTACCAGGTGCATGTAACTGGTATACTATGCATGAATACTTCTGGGGTAATCGAAAGACTTGTTTTGTTCCGTTTTTTTTGGTATACTGCTATTCTTTTTAAAAAGTTTAATATTTTAGCCTGCTTGGGCAGTATCAGTACTTTCTTTACCAGCATCCTAAGTCTACTTGGGGTTGTACAGATACTTTTATGTGAACAATCAGAAGATCTAGTACATAATAAATCAAAGTCACCGTGTAATTTAACGTCAAGTCCTCCCTGCTTTCCCAAGTTCCGCAAACCCAAAGTGGGAAAGGGATGTGTCTGGCTTTCCTCTTTCATTCACTTGCTTGCATACTCTTCCCTGCAACCCATCTGTGATGATTAAATCTATGTGTCAATTTGGTTAGGCCATAGTACCCAGATATTTGGTCAATTATTATTCTTGATGTTTCTGTGAAGGTATTTTTTTTAGATGAGATTGACATTTAAAACAGTGCATTCTGAGTACAGCAAATTGAACACCATAACATTGTGAGCCTTAGCCAATCAGTTGAAGGCCCTAATAGAACAAAGACTGACCTCCTGCAAGCCAGGAGGAATTCTGCCAGCAGACTGTCTTTGGATTCTAACTGAAACTCTTTGCTGAGTCTCCAGCCTGGCAAATGTTGAAAAATCTGTCTATATCTCTCTGGAACACTTGCTTGATTCTTCCCAAATCTCATTGCAGAAGCTAGGTGCACTCACCCTCTTGCAATAACCTTGAACACACCAATGCATCCTTGCACTGGGTGGTTGCATGTGACTCCTTTCAAACACTGATGCTCCCCTCTGGCTTTAGCTGCTGGGGTCCTCCATCCCTCTCAGGCAACTCTGTGTGACTGTACATGTACCAGGTAACTTTCTCTCTCCTGGATAGTCAGCATCTGCTCCTCAGAAAAGCAACTAAACCCTTTGCTCTGACAAATACTTGCTCCGCAGGCTGTCTCTAACCCATAAAAATGGTCCTGCCTCTGTTTCCCAGGCACTGAGCCCATCTCTGTTTATTTACCTTTCCTGATCCCTGAAGCAGGAGTGAGATCCACAATGTTCTTCAGCCCCAGACACGGTATAGGCAGGTCTCAAAATATTCACATTGAATTCCTTTCTCAGTTCAAATTTACAAAACAGTGGGCTAAAAGGTAACAAGACCACACATCCCAGCCATCCACTCCCAGACAAATTCTAGGGACCAGTCAGCAACAGATCTTTCCAAATAAATCTCTTCATAACTAGTTCCTTTTTTTCTCCCCTCTGCATTTTATAGTTTTGAAGAAGCTAGAACTTCTAGAGCTGTGTAGCCAATTCATTGCACTTTTCTTTGTATGTTCTAAGTTCAGCTTTACCATCACCTTGAAACCTACAGCTATCACACAGATACTTCAGTGAAAGCAGACATACAAAGCCATATTTGAATTTCTTGCCATACACCATTTTAAGCATTAAACAGAAATTGCCTTGTTTTATTCCTGCAGCAAACCCAAGAAGCAGGTACTTTATTATTCCCATTTTACATATGATGAAACTATGCCAGATGTATTAAATAACCTTCCCTGGGTCACCCGGTACATGTCAGAGCTGAGTTGGAGACCCAGGGGGTCTGATTCTGATTCACGATTGTAACCACTGCGACATTATGCCAGTCGCTGAATATTTAATTGGCACTCTTCCAAAATGCAAGTGTACAGCATGATTGGCGAGTTTACAATTTAATTAACTTTTGTAAGGAAGAGAGATGCATATTTCTAACATTCAGAAATCAATCAGTGCTTTATAAGACCAGAGCACTGAGCACTGGTTATCTGCTGAATACCTAGCAGGAAGTAGGGGCTGTGGGCAGTTTGGAGGATAAAGAAAGAAGCACAGGCTTGAGCTATTAATCCAGTACTATGGACGAGAAGAGGAAGGTATGACTTCACTTGGACCTCATCCATTTCAATTCTTTTGTTAAAGTAAGCTAGTCTACAAAAGGGAGGCATATAGAAAGATGGAATAGGAAGTCATGTTATACTGTACAATTCCAGGAAGCTGGGAAGGCCCCTTTCCCCCAAAGACATATTCTCCCTCTGCTTTGGGATGATTAATATCTCACAGCCAAAGACACTCATTTTTTGTTTAAACTGTCTTGGCTTAAGATTGTGTTGCACATTCAAATGCGGTGCTTCTGGGAGAGTTAACACCTTGCTACAGGTCTTCCTTTACTTTTTCTCTGTAAGTGTTCATCATCTTTATTAAAGAAAGCAGGTGAGGAAAAGAACAAGGAGCAAAATTCATGATAAAGTAAAGAGGAAAGCGTGTTTTCACCAAAAGTGAACTGTGTCACAGACCTCATTTGCCCACTCACGAGTTTTACTGTTGTAGAGATCAGCTGTTTCCAAGCTGGGGTGGCTGTAGATCTTTAATGGGGCACATTGAAGGGGGTTCTAAGAGGTGCACCAATGCTGCTGTAAGCCAAATAAATAGTTGTCGGTCATAGTTATAGCAGGGAGAAAAAGCTACTGTGCTACAATTGACTGAAGTATGGGCAGATTGCTCTGAGAGGGCAGGAAGAAAGACACATAATGGGGCTTTTTATATTAATCATAAAACACACAATAATAACAAAGGGATTGAAATTTCTCTGTGTCATGAAATAATAGAGATTTTCAATTTACCCCGATGTCAGAGACAAGCTAAGTTGGAATCCTCATTGCTGTGGGGGAGGGTCTGAGGCAGGAGGAAAGGTTGTTGATAAAGGGGTGCTAGATGTAGGAGAAATTATTGGTTAAAATAATTATTGGTTAGAAGACAGCAGATCACTACTCAGGAGAGGCTGAGGTGGGAGGATCACCTGAACCCAGGGGTTTGAGACTGCAGCTAACTATGATCTCCCCACTGCACTCCAACTCCTCCATCTGCTAAAAAGAAGAGAGCAGATCCCAGCTAGATCCTGAGAAGAAAGGGGCAGGGGGTGGGAGTGTGAAATAATATTTGGTAAGGCATGCTTGACACATGACTGGCCAACACAATGTGTGATGTTCAATTTTAAATGGCCTCCCTTGCTGTGGTGTGATAGCACCCTGCTGTTACTCCCAGATCTTTACCGAAAGTCTTATTTATGCACAACACTATTGTACGGGTAACATTTTAGCCAATGAAGGGGAGGAATTTGTGTCCATGCCTGGGGTGATGAAATCAGATGGAAGGATGGCAGTCATGAAAGTCAGATGAGTTGCGGGGAAAAAGAAACCGAGTTGGAAGGAAGAAGCAACCTACTCAGGAATCTTCAGAACATAGTGAGCGAACCGCAGACAGCTAGGATGGCTACCTAGGAATGTATTTTGTTTGTCAAAGGAAAGAATGACCATTGACTACAAAACAGGGAGAAACTTAGGTGACCTTGTATCTACCACTATTTTTCAAATGTATGCAAATGCAATTGCACTTCATAGTATATATAATGTATAAATGTGTATTATACATACATACGTACATAGGAGCTTTTGAGCATTGTGTATTTTTCTGAATTAGGGAGACTACAGTCACATAGGAGATGGCAATAATTTTTCATGTTAAAAAGGAATACACTTAAAAGGGATGAAAAGAAAAGCCTGAAAAATCTCCTTTGAAGTTTTCAGTACACCAATAAGAAATCTATGAGAAAGGATCTGAATTTAAAATCCATGGGAAGGTTTAGTTTCCCCATGAACAGGATGGCTTCTCCCACACTGACTTACTACGATCCTCTTTCTTCTCAGAACACGTGCTTTGAGAACCATTGCATTTCATTTCTGTACCTTCATGGGCTTCAGGCCTTGACATTAAGAAAAAGATTGTCAGAGATAAGAAAAATGTATTAATCTGCTCCTCTTGTTTTGATTGCTCTGCTTTTAATTTTAATACACGTATTTTCTTACATAAATAGAGTGTTTAACCACGATTCTCATTGATTAACTTTTCCCCCCAATTACGACTATCCCGTCAAGGCCGGGGTCCCTAAGGAAGCAGCTGAGAGAACACATACTGCACACATGTGCCAAATTATTCTGTAGGCTGAGAAATTAACTAAAAATGAGTAATATGCTCTCAATTTAAACCTGGCAGGGGGGAATTGTACTTTCATACCCAAATTGGAATCACATTTCCTCCACGGGGACTTTTCCAGCTTTTGGCATAGCCTATGAACAGGGCAAGCTTGGTTCCTCATGGTATAACAAAACTGGGTTCACATTATAGCTTCCTGTGGTTTAGTGAGGACGGCAGAGATGAAGATAAAACTAATGGGAAAGCCCTGGATTCCCTTTTATCACCAAACACATGAGCATCAACAGAGCCTTAAATAAAGCCAACACAGTCCATTCTTAATGCTCAGTTCTCACAATTAGCAGACTCCCTAAGCATCTATAATTGTAGTTGGACACTTTTTGGGTACATTTTTTGGGGATACTTGTTGGGCATCCTTTTTCAAAAAAATGTCTTTTCTGAGTAATTAAGGGTACCTGCAACAAAACATATTACTAAGTGGCCCTTGAAATTTCTACAATTTATTCTAAGGTATAATTTCTCTGTCTCTGGCCTCCAGTCATTTTATTGCTAGAGGGATAGATGAGACAGGAGAGAAAGGAAGAGAAAGAAATATGAAATTTATCAGCAATCAGGTCATTCAGCACCTGTTGAAAGTATATCAATAAATTTTTGAAGTATATTTTCTTTAAGCAGGATTTGAAGCTCCTTGATGGGACATTAAATTTTGTCTTTTATTCATCTATCACAGTAACATCAAAGTAACTCCCAACCACAGCTGCAGACTAGAAACGCCTGAAGAGCTTTTACGTCATATCAGTGTTTAGGCCCCGCTGCAGACCCGTTAAGTCTCCATTTCTTGTGGGTGAGGTGCAGACTTGAGTCATTTCTGAAAGCTCCAGGTGATTCTATTGTTCAGGCAGGATGGAGCTAGCTCATTGCTTTACCTAGATTAGGTGTCATTTGCTATTTTAAGGAACCATTAAATCTTTTTAATCACCCCCCAATTCCCATGAAAATAGCAACACTTCATAGATTTAACACAGTTGTTCTGTAAGAAATTATCATTAACCTATCCCATGGTTAATTGGATAAAGCTTTTGTTGAAAACAAGCAAACAAAATAAAGCCACTACCTTATTTGCACCTCCATTTCATCCTTCTTGCAAAAGGTCCCTGAGATACCTGCTGATTAAAATCCCATGAGGTGCCTTTGCACACGTGACATATTCCTGCACATATACCTTTAATATTCTCCTTATTTTTAAAGAAAGACACACAAAAGGAAAATGAAAGAGGCTTACTTGAATATGGCACTTCTGACTGAATGGTCAGAGTACAATTTAAGAACATTTTGTCATGATCAAAATTATAAAATATAGTTCAAAGTCATATTAGTTTAAAAAAGTTGAAACCAATTTTTGGAAATGTTTGAGACAGTCTTTAATACAATCAATTTATACAAGTGCAATGCAATATTTCTGCTTTCTGTGTATGAACTCCCCAGAGAGATTAGTTTTGGTTTTCTCTCCTGGAACACGGAAATATAGAACCTTGAGATGTCTGTGAACAGTAAATGACATAATGGAGGAAAAATCGATATTTAGGTTGCAACACAATATTCTGGTATATGGTATTTTTATTATTGCTTCACCTTATTAACCTTAAAATTTTATATGCAAATGAATATTTTAGCTGGGAAACAATGCAAATATAATCATTAATTGTAACTTTTATTAAGCAATTACTAGGTACTCAACTTCTTGTTAAGTACTTTATATGATTTCATTAAACCTTCACAGCAACCCAGTAAAGAAAGTACAGTTATTATCCTTATTTTACAGATTTGGAAACTGAGGTTTATGGGTTCTAAGTCTTCCAGCAATTTCAAGTGAAGGTTTCCAGTAGGTGTAAAAATACTTAAATTTTTCTGCAATTATTGGTCTAAGAATCCGGACTGATTTGTTCCTCTTTATATCTTTGTATATTCTCATATCAAAGACAATTTCATTTAGATGTAAACGCACAGTGAGAGCACTGAGAAAAGGAATGCCATTGTTACTTGGTTCACCAGAGTCATGCACCTCAGTCATGCTAGATTCCAGCTCCAGATGACAGCCATTCTCTCCATGGCCTTTCCTTGGACTCCACCAGACACTAAAAATAAAATAATTGCCTTATTCTTATATATCGATTATATGATACGTGTGCCATCCTAACTTAAAAGACAAACTCTAGATGTAGGGCTTCCTAATTCTTCAAATGAGGTATACTGTACTAAGGTTCCAACTCGTTTTCTTCTTGTTTTTCATTTGAAATGGAAGCATGGTGACAATGGAGAGATTATTTTAGGTGATAAAGGCCTGTGCAATTGTACTATGAAGGTAACTCTCAGGCAGGGCTGAGGAGAGAAAAGGAGGTGACCTGAATGCTCTTTTACATATCCACAAGGTGACCAGTCCCATCTTAGAATAGGGAGTAAATTATGCCTAAATCCAGCATCACATGCAGCTTAATAGATAATAAGCAAACACCATTGCAACCATGTGCTGTTTCATTACAATGCCATCTTTGATTTGTCTCTGTCTACCAGATTCTAGTGATTTTAACGAAGCTTTACCATTCTGCAAAATTACTAATTCATTGGCCTATGTCTCAAATGCATTGTGTATGATAGAATCATCTTGAAAAAGCAAGAGAAATATATCCATCTTAATGCTGACTGGGACCTCAGTTTGGATTTTATTGTAGCTTATATTTTATTTCAAAGTTACTTTATCAAAGCATTTAAGGGATGCAAACTTTACCTTTTGACACCTAAAGTCAAAGTACTAATACCAGGAATGGTTTCAATAGACTTCTGCAATTCATTGAGGAGATCATAAAAAAATAGCTTGCTTAAATTTGCAAAAGCTTTGAGGAAAGAAATGAGGATGAAACAATCATATTTGTTCAGTCTTTTCATATATCCTCTGTTGAAACCTCACGACGACCTGGGAGATTTCTTAGAAACAATATTGCAAGTGGTTGATTTATTGGCATGGAGGGCAGCAATATGAAATAGCCAGGGTCGGCACACTACTTTCTTCAGCAGGAAATCCAAACGGAGATCTGATTCTGTCTATTTATCTGAAATGATTTACTAAGTGATTCATTGCTTTGAGTTTATAAAGAACTGAGGTTTGGCTAGGAGTGTGTAATGTTTGGGAGGGTATGGAATATCAACCACATGGAAGAGAAACGAAGGACTTTGCTAAGCAGTACAAACCCTCATGAGCAATATTAATGTTGTCTTCTGACTATGCCATATGTACAAGCCTTACAAAAGACTAATGTCTTCAGATGTACTGTGATTAGCTTAAACCATGTCTGTGTTCTGGACAGCCCATCAGAGCCTGCTGGCTCACAGCCCACCATGACAGCCTGAGTTTGAGACATTTGCATCAAATCAGTTAAGTACTGCAGAGTCTCCTGCCACATTTATGTGGATGTCAGTAAATTTGCCACAGAACTCCATTAAAGGTCACCAAATTCCACTGGGGAAAACTTGGTTTCCAATTCTGGCACTGTCATTTCCCTAATTTGTGACTTTGCACAAGTCCCTTAATTTCTCTGCAGCATTAACAATCTCAAAAGTATAACAGCAGCAGTAAGGTGTTCTCACAGAGCTAGGGTGAGGCTCAGACAAGACCACGTGAAAATCCGTTCTGAATTGGCAAAGTGCTACATGTTAGCTGGCCTCTTTCTGCACCTACACCAATCCCCAACCAAGCTCTGTCACCACTTAGCAGCTTTGGGGGAGGTAGTCTGTGGCAAAGCTAAACCACATTCTCCATAGAGCCCTGACCCCAAGGTAACAGTTGAGATTTGCTGAGCTTTTCCATCACATTCCCTTCTTTTCCAGAACCGTGGATTTCAGTAGAAAATGCCTTGACAAGAGTTTAGCTGACAGGCTGGAAACCAGAGCAGGAAAGATAATGTGAAAGAACCACATGAAAACATACACATTTCTTCAACGTGAATAGGAACATTTTATGCTTCTGTTGATATTTTTTGTTCCTTTTTTATCCTTTATCATTTTTCAAAAAAATTATTTTAAAAAATAGTTTATATTAAGAAAAATAATATAATGAATAAAGGTATAGAAAAAATATAAATAATCACAAAACCACCACCCAACGAAATAAAAAGAAAGTTATCAATGCAATAAAAGCCCACCCCTCCCCTCAGCCCTGTGTATTTCTTCCCTATCATAACCACTGACCTTCCCTTTTAGAGTTAGCTACTATCCTGAATTTTATATTAATCACTATCTTGTTCTGCTTTACAGTTTTACTACCCAAGTATTCATCTTCAAATAACATAATTTACATTTGAGAACTATCTTCAAGATTTTATATAAATGAAATCATGCTATATGTATATATATATATATACATATGTATATTCTTGCCTTTGATTCAACATCATGTTTGAAAAAGTCATTCAGTTGGTTGCATGTAGCTGTATTTTATGAATATTCACTGTAGAATAACATTTTATTTGTAAATATACAGTGCATTTTGTATATTGTTATGCTGTTGATGGACATTTGGATTATTTCCAGTTTGTGGCTATTAGAAACAACGATGTTTGAGAAAGATTCTTACACTTGTCAATATGTGCAACAGTTTCTCTACTGTAGTCATGTTCTGTGAAAGGATGTGCACATCTTCAGCTTTACAAGATAATACCAGGTAGTTTTTCAAAATACTTGTACCACTGTGCAATTTTAACAGCTCTTGGCTTTTCTCTACATGACATCATTTAGTATTTTGATTTTATCTTAAACTAGATTTACAATTTTATTTTTTTTTTGAGACAGGGTCTCACTCTGTTGCCCAGCCTGGATTGCAGTGGCATAATCTAGCTCACTGCAGCTGCAGCCTCGATCTCCCAAGCTCAAGTGATCCTCCCACCTCAGCCTCCTGAGTAGCTAGGACTACAGGCATGCACCACCACACCCAGCACATTTTTTATTTTTTAAAATATTTTTGTAGAGAGAATTTGCTATGTCGCCCAGGCCATTGTTCTTCCTCGCCCTCCCCAAGTACATGAGCCACTGCACCCAGCATGAAAAATTACAGCTTATAATTTTAGTTCTTTGCTCTTCTGACATAGCTTTGGGACATGGTCTAAATTAAATATTATTGGTGCTCTGGGTGGGTTTATAGGATTGGCCTGTATATTTCGTGTCCTAGGCCTGCCATAACAAATTTCCACAAACTAGGTTGCTGAAAACAACAGAAATTTATTCTCTCACAGCTCTGGAGACCTGAAGTCAGAAATCAAAGTGACAGCAGGGCCGTACTTCCTTGGAAGGCTCTAGGGGAGAATCTTTCCTGCCTCCTCCTAGCTGCTGGAGGCTCGCAGTGGTCCTCGGTGCTCTGTGGCCTGCAGCTCCTCTCTGCCTCTATCTTCACATGGCCTTCTGCTCTGTGTCTCTGTGTGTCCTTTCCTCTGAGTGTCCTTTCCTCTTATAAAGACACCAGTCATTGCATTCAGGGCTTACTCTAAATCCAGGATGATTTCATCTGGAGATCCTTAACTAATTACATCAGCAAAGACCCTGTGTTCAAATAAGGTTACATTCACAGGTACTGGAATTAGAACTTCGGTGTATCTTTTTGTGGAACACAATTCAAGCCACTACAGCTTGCACTGAGGGAAGGGAAAAGGAAGGGAGGAGAAAAATTATTAGCTTGTGAAACAATTACTACACATACTACATAATTTTTGATTGCTTAAGATGTTTGCTTTTCTCACGGGGTAGAAGTTAAAAAGCTGCCCACACAAGATCACACACCTGCTTTAAAAAGAAACTCTTTTGATTCTATTAGGTTGCCTTTGCATATGGGCAAGTAGTTGAAAGAAATAGGTCAGGGTTCTGAGGAGGTCACCTAGGGCATGTGTGCCCTACCTTTGCACCTGAGTCCCCTACTGAAGCATGAGATGACAACAGTGGTAGAACTCAGAAGATGTCCTGGAAAGGTGCCATTTGTCCTGGGGACACTCTGATTTTGTGTGGGTGATTTTCTGTTTGCTAAAAGTCCTGGTCTTCATTCTTTTACAATTTGGTAGGGCAGACCTTACTGTTAGAAGGGAAAATATCTCATGGTTGCAGGAGCCAAGCTAAAAGCTCCACTGATTGAACTCATCCCGCCCTTCATCAGCCTTAGTGCCGTGACTCACACCTTTATAGAGTTTACAGTGTGGGTTCTACTAAATGTGGGAGCACCCTGTTAAAAGTCAAATGTCTCAACTGGGGTTGGGGTGTTGAAGGAAGAGGACATTAAATGATTGTTAGACATCACTACTTGAAACATTGGCTTAACAGATAATATCTTACTATTTATATGGCAGAGTTCTAAGGTGAGTGTTAACCTTGGAATCCATAGCTTCAGAGGCAGGGAGTATGGGGACCAGTTAAAGAAGGAATGGATTAGAGAAAGCAACTTGGTGAGATAACACCTCCTATCACAACACCAGAACCTTTGAACACATCAGTGTCAGACCTGGTAACTTGCCATCTCTTGCAGTTAAGACCAAAGATATCTTTCTCTTGATTCTGCCTTCCTGATATTTATCAGCTAGGACTAAATCTTGGCTCCACCTTTTACTCCAACTCTTGTGTATGTTTCTCTCAATTCTTGATGATTTCTGTCTAAAATAATAGGTAAATGACTCTTTAAAAAACTTTATTGCAATATAATTTATGTACAATAAATACAATTATGTGAGTTTTGACACCCGTATACACCCAAGAAACCATCACTACAATGGAGACACGGCATTTTTATCACCATCTCCCTCCCCAATTCCTCTTTCCTCTCTAAAATTGATTTTACACATTGCCTTTGGCACCAGGCAACCACAGGTCTACTTTCTGTCGTTACAGATTGTTTGCGTTTTCTAAATTTTATACAAAAGTGTAAAAATAACAGAATGCTCTGTTTCTTTCAATCAACATAATTTTGAGATTCATCTATGTTGCTAAATTAGTACTTTGATCTTTTTTATTGCTAATTATTATTTCTTTGTGTGGACACATTGCAGTTTATACATTCATCTGTTTTATAGACATTTGGGTCCCCTCCCTCTGATTTTTGATTATCAAAAAATAATTGCCATAAACATTTGTGTACAAGTTTTTGTGTGGCTATATGTTTTCATCTTAGGCAAATATCTAGGAGTAGAATGTCTGGATTTAATGGTAGATGTATGTTCAGCTTTAGCAGAAGCTGCCAAACATTTTTCCAAATTGATTTTACCATTTTGTAGTCCCAAGAAAATAGATACAAATTTTAGTTGCTTTATATTCCAACCAACATTTGATGTTAGTCATTTTAATTTTAGCTATTTCAATGAGTATGTAGAGGTATCTCATGGTGATTTTAACTTTTTTCCCTGATGACTTATGATGTTGAGCACTTTTAAATGTACTTATTAGATGTCATGTGTTCTTCTCTGAAATGTCTTTTCTTTTTTTTATATTTACAGCAGCTTTGTTCGTAATTGTCAAAACTTGGAAGCAACCATGATGCCGATATCCTTCAGCAAGTGAACAAATAAATTAACTGTGGTACGTCCTGACAATGGAATATTATTCAGCACTAAAAAGAAATGTGCTATCAAGCCATGAAAAGCCATGGAGGAAACTTAAATGCATATTACTAAGTGATAGAAGCCAATCTGAAGAGGTTACATACTCTGTATTCCAAGTATATGACATCTGGAAATGACAAAACTATGGACACCATAAAAAGATCAGTGGTTACCAGGGGTTGGGGATTGGGGGATGGATACCTGGAGCACAGAGGATTTTTAAGGCAGTGAAACTAGTCTATATGACACTATAAAAATGGATACGTGTCATTATACATTTGTCAAAGCTCATAGGATGTACAACAGCAATAGCAAACTCTAATGTAAACTGTGGACTTTGAGTGATTATGATGTGTCAACATAGGTTCATCGGCTGTTAACAAATGGACCCCTCTGATGGAGCTATAAATATGTGACAACTTGAATTCTGCTTAATGGACTTCCTTTCTTTCTTATTTCCTTTCTTTCTTTCTTTCTTTTTTTCTTTTTTTTTTTTTTGGTTTGTTTCTTGCATCTTATGTTATCTCTATGGTAAGTTTAGCTAAATGAAAAATTCCCAGGATTGTAAACTGATTGATTAGAAATTATTTGATTTTTCTTTATTTCATTTTATGTTACTTTTTAAGACCCAGTCAAGGAACATTTCCATATGATGTGCGTGTATCCATAGAATTATATCATGGCTGCATATGCAGTTTTAGCCTATGCTATAAAATGCCTGCTTTTTAAAAAAAGACGTTATTTTCTTAGAACAGTTTTAGGTTCACAGCAAAACTGAAAGGAAGTTACAGAGATGTCCCATATACCCCTTGCCCCCGCCACACATTTGAAACATCTTTTCAAATCTTTTCCTCATTTATTAAATAGCTTGTTTTTCTCATTATTGAGTTGTGATATATCTTTATGTATTCTGAATAAAGTCCTTCGTCAGATCTACATATTACGAATAACTCCTCTCACTTCGTGGCTTGCTTTTTAATGTTCATAATGTTGTCTTACAAAGAGAAAAAGGTTTTCATTTGATAAAATACAATTTTTTTATTTTTAAAATTTATGATTTTGTGTTTTCTGTGTTCTGTGTAAAAATCTTTGCCTATCCCAGGGATACAAAGATTTTTATTCTTTTTTTATAAGAAGTTTTATAGTTAAGTTTTACCTTCAGGTCTGTGATGTATTTTAAGTTAATTTTTTCATATGCCATGATGTAAGAGATAATGATCCTTTTTATACAGATACCTGTGTGCTTTCACTCCAGCAGTATATAATCGATAAATATTTCTACATATAATCTATCTCTATATCTACATTAATCTAACATGAATTCATATTAATGTCTCCTACTCTAATCAATTACCATATAGATCATTCTAGCTATTGTCAGGTTTTAGATTTTAGTATATATAATAGTACACTAGTTGTTACTGGGTTTTACTTAGTAATTCCATTTGTTTAATAGCTATAAAACTATTCAGAATTTCTCTTTCATGTTGTAGTTTTGCTAATTTTTACCTTTAAAGGAATTTGTCCATTTTATTTAAGTTCTCAGGTTTATTTTACTTCTGTTTTTTTGGTCCTTTCTGTGTTTCGGTATCTGTCCTGAAGACGCCTGACTTGGTGCCTTTGCCTGACAACTCTTTAGTGTTTAACTAAAGGCAGCGAAACCATCCCCAGACATGAATTGGCATGAGCAGAAGAATCACATTAAAAGATTGGCTAGAAAACCTATTGCTGTTTAAAGAAAAGGATTTATTAAAAGTAAGAGCATCAGTGGTGCATCCTTATGTCCTCCCTTTCTTAGAAAATCAGTTTTCATAATTTCTCTTTGAATCTGACAGGCTTTAATTATATAACTGGTAGAGAAATTTAACTTTGATTTTCAACATGCAAGAAAAAGAGCCAGGAAACTATATGTATATATTAATGTATTAGCTAATATTTAGTGCAGAGAAGTACAAAGGAGAAAACAAGAGTTGGATAATTTTCCTTGTCAGATAACTTTTTGGTATTTTTATAAAATTAGCAATGTATGAGGCTAAAAATATACAAAAATGTACAAGTCAAAAAAATAAAATTCTTTTCCTTTGTGCCCACCCCACCTCCCAGGCTTTCTCCAAAGTGTAACTGATTGACGGTTTTATATATCTTACAGTGGGGGTTGGAGGTCATTGCATGTCCTTGTGTCTTTCTTTTCCCTGCACGTTTGTATGTTTATTTCATAACAAAATAATCATACTAGATAGACTGTCCTACACTTTGCTTCCTTCACTTGCATTATGTGATATTTCCATATAATTTCATACAGGTCTAATTTATTCTTTTTAATGACTTTACAGTGTTTTATTATTTTACAGTCCCACATCCCTGCAGATGGACTTTGGTCGTATCTAGTTTTAATCTTTTACAGACAGTGCTGCAATGGACACCCATATGTGTGAAGATAAGGCCATGCCACACACAAATAATTAAACACACATATTAACATAAAATTTTTTCATGTATATTCAGGGGCATTTTTAGAAGTAAACTTTATTTGAGTGTGTGTATATGTAGTAAAATTACTGGGTCAAAGACATGTTTATTTTATATTTTGATAGGTATTGGCAAATTTTCCTTTTGTAAAATTATACCAAATTATTATCTCACTTAACAATTTATGAGAGCTCACATTTCCCAGCTCTCTAACAGCTCCAGATGACCTCAAACTTTTAAATTTGTTGTCTTCCTGAGAAGTAAAACATGATATCCCATTTATTTTTTTATTTACATTTTCATGAATGAGTGAAACTGAATATCTCTTGTATGATAACTATTTATATTGCTGTCTGTACATTGCCACTTCACATCCTTTTGCCATTTTTCTGCCAGGTTGTAAGTCATTTTCCTATTGGGTGATTTGAATAAGCTGTCACTAAAAAAAAAAATCTATAAATATGGCAAAAATGTTTTTCCTTGATCTTTTGACAATGTTCATGTTTTGGTAGGTTTATAATTTTTCTGTTAAGGGGAAAAAAAAATCCCTTAACCATATAACTGTGTACTTTCCAAGAAGTATTTTTATTTTTCCCCTTAAAGGTATATCTCACTATGTAGGTAGAGATTCTTCTTTCATTCAAAGAATAGCTCAGTATTCTTTTATCAGAGAGAAGGGTAGAAGAGAGAGTCATTTGTGCTTTCTAGGTGCAGGCTGCCCAGGCGAATAGCTTGGCTGAGTGTTTGGTTTTCTCCCTGTGGTTGGATGAAACATTTTTTAGTTTTTTATTTTTCCCTGCTTCCCAATTAATTTGGGGCAAAAGAAACCTGAAATAAACACTAAGAGAAATATTGTTCTTAGTTTGCTTTCAAATTTAGAATGTATTCTGTAGATAACATAAAGTAGACTTAAAAATTCTAGATTCTAAACTTTTGACACCATTTATATTGTGTATGTGTTTAAAACACAAGTAACTCTCTCTATGAGTTTTCTCCATTTAAGCCAGCTTTAGTTTGGGGCATTTTTCTTTAGATGACACTTTTATCTTTTCCACTTTAAGAGGCTGTAAGTTGTAGAGAGAAGGTTAATCTTAGAAACTCTTTAATTAACAACAACAAAAAAATACCTATCAAGATTCCCAGACTTTATTTGCTTCCTCTTAGCCATAGTTGTGATAAAAGACTATGCCAAATTTTTTTTAGATATTGAAAGAACTTTAGAGACCACGGAAGTGAGATTTTTAATCAGGTGATTGCTGGAAGTGAAGATTATTGTTTTTCACAAGAGAGCAGAGAAATCCTTTGAGACCCAAGATTGCTTTCCAGCTGGCCATCTCCTAGGCATTCACACTCCTAGGCTTGCTGGGAAGTCCTCAGAGCTCTGGCGGTGCTTCCAATCTTTTCTCACAAGGTGCCTTGCTGTTTGGCTCCTGAGTCATGAGGCACCAACAGTTTGACCAGGCTCTCTACCCAGCTTCGAGCCTAGTGAGCAGCTTTACTCTTCCTCCTCTTAGGATGGAGGAATCAATCTGCAATTACAACTTTCTAGGGGCCTGCAAAATCTGCAATTTGCCTATGGTGGGCAGTCAATTGACCCACCTTAGAGAAAAGTTAGGCTTGGTGATTTCACTCTTCCTCTTATAAACCCTTAGAGCTAAGCAAAAGAAAAATTGCAGGCAACCTGTCATAGAATCTGGCTATTTTATATGAGCTCTGGGGTGACTTAGAAATGGTTGTGATTTTTGTAGCCCTTTGTGTCTTCAAAAGAGCTGGCTCGGCACAATTTCCAGGGAAGCATAATGTTCCTTTGGATTTTTCTCATTTTTCCTTCTGACTTATACCCTATGGTTTCCTATGTCCCCGGCTTCCCTCTGACTGGATAAAGTCTCTAATCAGATGCACTTTCCATGCTCAGAAGTGTTCTACCATCAAAAATTACCTTCCTCCTTCTTTTTCCTTCAGAAATTATTACCAAATTCTTTTTCTTTTCTTTTTTTTTTTTTAATTGAGTTAGGTTTGATTCAGTATTAACATTTTCCTCTTTTTCCCCTAGCTTTGCATTCTATTAGCTCTTTTACTTATAATTAGAGAAGAGTAGACAATGTCCTTGTGATGCTAAGGATATTCCACACTTGGCTCCTTTTCAATAGTTCTGACTCAGCAGAACAGGAGGGAGCAGCATGGAATGCATGGTGGTCACCCTGGGAAACTTGGAGCAACACGGTCGAGTCCTCTAAAAGGTCAGCTCCATGAGGGAAGCGTAATTTTCTATTTTATTCCCTGCTGTTTTCTCAGCCCCAGAACAAGGCCTGGCACATGTACGTGCTCAGCAAATACTTGTTGAATAAATGAATGAGTAGATCAATGCTTTGTTTCTTCTCCCTGGTCCACCAAATAGGAAAAATATATTTGTGAACTGATTGATCTCTAAATTGTGCCATAACAAATCTTCTCCAAATGTAATAATTTTAAACAGCAATAATCATATATTATCTCCCACAATTTCTATGGACTAGTGAAACCACCATTGAAAAATTATAACCGAGACAGTGAAAAAGATCTGACCCAGGCAACGCCATCTTGCTTCTAACCTCCAAGCTATCCTTGTTCATTCCTGGGCATAGGCTGAACTAACTTTGGTGGAACTTAGTTTATAGTTTAAAACAAAGATGATAATAGCCTTTTCTCAAAACTAACCTCCTTCTTGCTTGAGGACTAGACTGCCTTTGTAGGACTAACAAATTAGCCACAAGATTAGAAATTATGGTTTAGGAGTCATGCAGCTGGAGGCTACAAGTTTCTGACCCTCCCCAAATGGCTCCTGGGGATAACATCACCATTGTAAAACCTAAGAGCAATACTTGAGATATTTTGCAGACTCTGCACTTGATGGATCAACTGGCACCACCCAGATAGATAAAATGGCTCATTTGATCTTGTGGCCCCCACCCAGGAACAGACTCAGCACAAGAAGACAGCTTCAACTCCCTATAATTTCATCTCTGACCTAATCAGTCAGCACTGCTGACTCACTGCTCCACCCCCCACATCAAATTATCCTGAAAAACCCTGACCCTCAAATGCCTGGGGAGACTAATTTGAGTAATAATAAAACTTGGGTCTCCCACACAGCCATCTCTGTGTGAATTACTTTCTCTATTGCAATTCCACTGTCTTGATAAATTGGCTCTTTCTAGGCAACGGGCAAGGTGAATCCCTTGAGCAGTTACATTAGGGTGTGGCTTGACCTATGATTGGTTTTGACTCAGTCTCTTGTGAGGTTGAAGTCATGAAATTGAAACCACCTTTGCATAAATTTTATTGGTGATAAAATTATGGTAGTAAGGGAGATCTGATCTAGCCAATCCCCATCCTGCCTTTAGCCTTCAATCTGCCCTTAGTTATTCTTAGGCTTAAGCCAAACTAATCTTGGTAGACACTTAGTTTATAGTTTAAATGATGATAGCCTTTCCCCAAAACTCAACTGCCTTTGTAAAGCTAATGAAAGACCACCAGGCTAGGAGGATAGAGGAGCCTGAATTCTACTAAGGTGTAGACATAAAGGATTGCCAGCCATTATTCCTGGGGTCACAAAATATGCAACTTCCCCAATTACTCCTGCAGATAACATCACTGTTGTAGAACCTAAGATTGGCCTTTTGAGATATCTTTTCAAGTTTTTTGCATATCTGACTACTGATGACTCTGCCTGGACCAGCCAACCACTCCTGTAGCCCCACCCAGCAGTGACTCAGCACATAGGAGCAACATTTCCCATACCCCTATAATTGCAGCCCCAACCAATCAGCAAGCACCCATTGCCTAGCAATCTCCACCTCTTCCCCCAAACTAGCTTTGAAAAACCCCTAGCTTCTGAGCCTTTGAAGAGACTGATTTGAGTGATAATAAAATTCTAGCTTCCCATCATCTGGCTCTATGTGTATTAAACTCTCTATTGCAATTCCCCTGCCTTGATAAATAGGGTCTACCTGGGCAGTGGACAAAAAGAACCCATTGGATGGTTACAATATCAGCTAATGGTTTCCAGGGACTTTTGGCTAGAACATCCACTTATAGCTTCTCCATGTGTCTTGGGCTTCCTCAAAACATGGTGGCTAAAGGGCAGCATTGAGAGAGAGAGAAATAGAGAGGTAGAATATGTCCTGCCTTTAATGACTTTGTTTTGGAAGTCATGCAGCACCACTTCTATGTCATTATATTGATCAAAGGATTTACAAAGATCCCCTCAAGCTCAAGAGGAAGAAACAAAGACCCCATATCTTGACGGAGGAATGCTAACATCACATGTAAGAAAAGCATGTGGAATGGAATAGAAATACATACGGATGTGACCACTTTTAGATAAAGCAATCTGCCATAGGGTATGACTCCAGTTGCAGCATACACACAAGAACGCACACACACAAATCTTCCCCTGAGCCCTGACAATAGTGGGATTGAGGCTAACTAGGGCTCATGAGTTTAGATTTCAATTAGCAAAGAAGTATGGGGATTCTTCTGAAATGTTCACCTATAGGGATGAGAATTGCTTTGTGCAACCTCTTGCAAAGCATTCTTTGAATTGCATCTGACACTCATTTGAAGGGTATTTAAAGGAAAAGAAGGCTAGGAGTCAAAATTGAAAGTGCAAATTGCAAATGCTTCCCTTCTAGAGTGATAGGGCTATAAATACCGAGGCTCTTTCTGTTAAACAACAAATGGAAATGCTCCAGAATCAATGAGAGATGTTAGCACCAGGGAAAAACAGCATCTTAAATCCTTACATTAACAATTAAATCAGACACTTTTGACACTTTCTCGGAGACACTCCTGGCAGTACTTTATTCTTCATGGCACGATTCAGAAACTCACAGCAGGTGACAAGCATATTTTGGAGGATCATCAGTTCAGCTTTCCCAGCACTCTTCCCAAACATAATTCAATATATTATATTCGAGCCAGTTTCAGGTTTTTTGAAAAAAGGTGATGGGTAAAAGTAAGTAGGCTTCCAGAAATGTGCTCCATGGCCTTAAGAAGCTAATGGCTGCAGAGAGAGAACTGACCTTCTCAATAAGAGTTGAATATTAACACACTCAGAAAAAGAAACTGATTTATTCATAAGATCCCAAGGACCCTGTGTTACAGTCCCTATGAATCATGAGTAATCTTGTATTCTGGGAGAGCATGAAGACTTAGAGATTACTCACCCTACTATACATGGTCCTTATTCAACGAAATTAAAAGTATTTTTCTTGTGATCATTATAACTGAGCTAATTTTATAAGACATCTAGTGCTAAAGGAATAATAAAACAGAAACAATAAAACTTGAGAATTTTAAGAATCTTATTTTTTTAAAGTGTTCTAAATGCTTTGAGTCTGCCCAATTAAAAGTCCTAGCTTGATTGAGACTCTTGCCATAATTGAATCATGAGGCAGGTTGCTGGGATATTGACACTGGGAACAGCTACTCTTCATAGCTTCTAGAAGCCTCACTGCCAGTTCCTGAACTGAGCAGCTGATAATGCGGCCACCACAAAGGCAGAGGCTGTGTGAGGGAGCTCTAAGGAGCTGGCAGTAGGGTCAGACAGAGCAACATTTGAATCCTGAGTTACCTATTAGCTGTGTGACTTTGGTGGGTTCCTAGACCTCTCTGAACCTCAGTTTTAACATTCACAAAATGGGGATGATAGTACCTGCCACATGTGTTTGGGACCTAGCAGTGTTAGCCCAGAGTAAGTAAGTGGCCTGAGATAGTGTTACTGGCAGTCTCTGGTCCTCTCTGCCTTTCCATCTGCAAAGGAAGGAGAGAGAGTCCAAAGACCTAAAGTGAGGGCTAGAGCAAATTACAGAAGTCCTAAAACTAACTTCACTAGGAATTTGAGGGCGTTGTCCAAGGAAATATAGACCATGATGGAAACACTGCCCAGCATGCAAATAAACAACAATCAGCGCACCCTTCATGTAGCTGCCTTTGTTCCAATCAGCAAATGACAAGCACCCAGGCTTGTCTCTGGGATTTTGGGAAGACAAGAGCAAATCCATTGTGCATGAATGTGCATTCTTGTGCTCACTTCTGGACAGGGTTATGAATGTGCTTTCAGCAGTGCATTTGTCAGAAAGCTTGATGGGCTTTTGTGTGACCCCAAGGGAGGGGAAGGTGAGATTACAAATCTAGGTAGTTCTTTATCCATCTAGATGAGAGGAAGGAAAAGACAAATCCCAGACCCACATACACTGTTCTCCACACTCTCCTCTTTGCTATCCGGCTATAGCTTGAACTTATTTGGGGAAGGGAACGGCAAGACCAGAATACTGGGAACTCTCTGTGTCTGTAGTAATAGTCTGGGAGTAGAGAGTAACAATCTCAACCCTAAGTCTTATCTCTTGATCTCTGTGCTCTCTGCAGCCATTACAATGAAAGTCTCCAATCTCCCAGTTTCTGCTCTTAGGAGAAAAGACAACTTTGGTGTTTGAACAACTCCCAGGATCCCTGACTTCTCTTTGTTTTTGATACCCATAGTTTTCTTGCTTTCATGCTGCTTCATAAGGTTTTTTTGTTTTGTTTTTTAAATTATCCAGAATTTTAGTTGACTTTATTAAGAGGTTTGTTAAAAGTGTTCAAAATGAGCACTGAATTTGCATTAATTTGTATGTGTGATCTGTATTAATTTATATGGTTTCCAAATTAAATACACTCATCTTGATGCAAATATTTAGACATCTTGAAGAATGCAACCCTTGAGCGGAATCCAGCTACTACTGACTCACAAAGCACCTGTCCCCTGTTTCCCAGCTGTCCCATGTCGTGTGTGTTACTGACCTCCTTCATTTGGCATCTTTTCTCAGACTTGAAAAGAATGAGGTTATTTTCATACTTCTTTCCACAGGGAATCAGCTACAAATACATAATGCGAGTTGTCTGGAAAAGTTATAAGAAAGCAACTCTCTAATCAGATGACCTCTGAATGACTCAAAACGTCATGAATTAATGCAATAGAATGGTGAAAATCAAAAGTGAAACAGAGCTTAGGAATGTTGCATCCTCTTTTGGTCCTCTTGAACAATGCTTACCTTTTGGGCCACTCAACTTTTCCACGTGTTAAGTATTACGATCACATGTATCGGTAAGATTGTGAAGCACCACTCTTAGTTCCTTGTGCAAATGCTAATTCTACAGCCTTATGGCCAGACTTTCTAATAGAGTTGCTGAACACTTATTGTTTTTTCAATATCTCATCAGCCCTAAATCTAGATGGGCTTAATTTTCTAGAAATTTATTATATTACAACTGCCTCTCGCATAACCCAGAATTTATTGAACATAATGTTTAAGAACACAGACTTGGACCCCAGACCTATATTGAAATGAAGACCTATCATTTAAAAGCTGTGTCATCTTGAATGAAACATGCTTTCCTTATATGTAAAATGGAAATAGTTATGGTACAACTCATCAGATTTTGAGGTTAACAGGGTAATGCCCATAAAATGCTTAGCTCATGACCTATACATACTATGTGTTCAATAGATGAAGAATGTTTCTATTATGAATCATTTTTTGTTTCTATGATATTGCCATGACAATGCATAAAATGTTTGTTAATGTTTTTATCCTGACTACTCTTTACCATCCCTGATAACAGAGTAATGTTTGTGTTTCTTGTGGGATTTAGAGCTGTTTGAGAAATTAGGATGGCAGCTTCAGGTGGGCAGAGAATTTTGTCAGCTTTGTTCTCTTCTACAATTCGGATCCCACTGCAGTGCCTTATATAGAGCAGATAATAACTATATCTACTGAATTAATGAATGAATGAATTATATGAGGTCAAAAATATAAATGGACTATGACATTAGACATAAAATAATAGAAAATCAAGGATGATAGTCTTACTTCATGTGATCAAACTCCATTTCAAAAATAAATGTATCATATTTTGGGAATTTTTATAACAAAATATTAATTTAATCTAACAATTATAACTTTTACAATTTAAAGCACCAAGTGCATACAATGTTTAAATAAAATATTTTATTGTAACAATCAATATTCATTCAGTTCTTGTTAGAATTATGCTTTGCAATGTTCATTGTTAAGAAATTTCTAAAGTGTGGTTTTGATGCTGATCTATGTAATAGCAAACATTTATGATATCCTGAAATAGACAAATGATTGTGAACGGAAGCTTTTTGATATTCTGACAATATGAAATGTTAGTTCCAGATTGAGACAGCAGGGACGCATTTTACAATTTGATTTCTACTTATGTTTCTGTATTTTTTGTGCCATGTAGAGGTAAGTTTTGCAGGACTAAAAATTGTCAGTTTCTATTACAAACTAGATTCATTATTGGTAAAAGTCTTCAATCATAAAATCTGACATCATTTAAACTTTTAAAGCTAGGGCAGGAAGCATCATGACATGAGTCAGTTACAGTTAGATAAGCAATCATCCTATGGGGAATATTCTTATACGAGCAAAAAATAGCCATAAAATGACATAATGGGCCATAGATGCATCTCATTTCCTCTCTGTGTGGTGAACCACCAACGGAAGTCTTTAATACAATGAAAAATAGAATTTTGTTTTTAATTCATGAAAACAGTAAGTGATAGAGCTTAAGCATGAGAATACACACTGGAAAATCTTGATTTACTTTTTCCATAATCCAACTGTGAAGGGCTGAAAAATTGAAAGACATTCTAGAGAGTTTTTAAACATTGTGAAAATAAGACTGAGAAGAGAGAGTGTTTACTGAGCATGCATTGCATGTCAGGCAGCACAGCCTGGCACCTGCCTACTTCTTACCCACCTACTCTGCCTGGGATCCAAATATCTGCCAGGAAATTTATTGTAACAGCCTGAGGGCGGGGACCTAGTTTTATTGTGCATTGTACTCCCACATGCAGCCTAGTACATAATTTGTAAAAACACTCTTGTACTAAATATTTGCATATCTCTAGAACGTTAGCTTCTGATTGAGACAGCAAAGACACTGCCACTGCCAGAGTTCCTCCAAGTTCATTGAACAAAAAGAAGGAATAAGATTGTCTGAGGATATGGTCACCTTTGCTTTTTAGTAGAAAATGAGGCAAGTAAGGATGTGAACAAACTTTCATAAATTACTTCTTGCCTTCTTGTGAAACATGAAATAAGTGCATGAGAATAATGATTAGAGGAAAACGTCTTATTGAGCTGTTTCATCATCTGCAAATCACAGTAGCTAACATTTATTAAGAGCTTACTTATTTAACAAGCATTGTCAGTGGTTTAACAAGAATTAACTCATTTAATCCTCAAGATAACCTTATGAGAAAGGTCCATTATTATTCCTATTTTACATACCAGGAAATGAAGGCACAGAGACTTGCCATGGTTTTCCCACAGCTAGGAAATTAGGAAGAGGTTGAGCCTGGTTTCATTCCACAGCAGTCTCTGACTCCAGCCAAATTGCTCAGCAATTCCTACATGGTACTAGCTTTTTGTTTAGCCACTGATATTAACTTGTTCATCTTTCTCCCACAAATAAACTGAATCTGGATTTTTTTTTTTTTTTTTTTTTGCTGCTTTTAGTTTAGTTCTAATGCTTAGAACATTAACAGCTATTTAGAATGTAGAATGTAGATGTTGATTACCTCTGTAATCTGTAACTCAATTATCACTTTGCCATTGCAAACCCTGGTCCATGCCTCCTTCTATTCTAAGCGCTGAATATCTACATTATTTTTGCCGCCTTCCCTAAAAGAGTCTGGACTGAATTTTTAAGGCGTGCTTACAACATAAGTACACATAAAGAAATGACTGTCACATGAGCTATATTGTGCCATATGGCGGTTGCATCTTTTCCCATTGCATTTGTGCCCTCCAGGCTTTCTGTATTTTCTATCAGTGGTTTCTGGTTTGCTCCCCTGGGTGTCTTGCTTAGCACTAGTGCCTACTAAATCAAACTTGCTTTTGACAGACAATTTGTATAATTTATTGGGATGTAGGGGACTCAAAAATGTTTTTGTATCTCCAGTGACTTGGTGTAAACTGGATGGTGATAGTCCAGAAAATTATCCTCCCAGCCCCACAGAAATCACTGTGTGACTCCCGCCATGATTAACTTGGAGGCAGATTAAATGTTGTGTTTGACTTTCAATGCAGTTTGCTGTCAACTCATTCTGAAATAATTATAATGAACCTTCAGATTGGACATGTATTCTATTCAGTGGGTGGCAGATCTGTTTCTAAACATATTTCTTCATGGAGCAGATTCCTAGTGGGGTTTATATTTCTTAACTATTCTTTATAGTAAACATCGCCCCACAACAGTTGCATTTGCATGTCAATAGCAAAGGTTCTGTGTGTGCGTGCATGTGTGTGTGTATGAGAATGGGTAGAACACAAGCGTATATATCTACTTTTATTTTTGTTTTCATTGTATCATCTGAGATTCATTCATCTCAAAATAAAAAAGGATCAAGGAGGCAGAGCAATATATAATGAAGACACTAAATGATTTAGTCGATTTCAGAGAAAATGGTTATCTAATGTATTTACAAGAATAAAACACATAGTAATTTTGTTTTAATTACCTGGATAATTGCAATTCCTCTTGTTATAATTCCAAGTCCAGGAAAAGAGTGTGACTTTGGGACATACGGGTGCAGATATGTTGTCACTGATTGCTGACTAGTATATACTAAATTAACAAAGTCAACATTGTAACTTACCATACCCTTTAGGTATTAAAATGCTTGATTTGAGTCTTTCCTTCTGGTTACTTTTTCCAAAAGTTTGGAAGGCATAGATGCCCATATTTTATCTAATCACTTCAAAATCACCAACATAAGCAGTTGTATTGCAGTTCTGTGAAAGATTTTGAACAATAATAAAATCTAGGGCAATCATGATTTTTAGGAAATCATTTTTATGGATATCTTCTCTGCTGCCAGAACTTCAGAAATATTCCATAGAGTGAAAGCCTAATAGTGCTTCTGGTTACCATCAGGCCTTTGGAATTTCAATAGAAACGAAAGACAGTCTGTGTAAAAACTTCTTAAGATTTTATGAGCCTGTTTAACTTCCCACAATTTGTTTCCTCAGAAGGTGTGTTTATTATTTCCTATCTGATTTCCCTCAGAATGGAGCAGTAAATTCTGAAAATGAGAAGGGTCCATGATATTTATCCCCAGGTCTCTCCTCTCAGTCCCAGATGCATAAACACAGCTGCCCATGTGGCATGTCTACTTGGGTGACACTCAGGGACCTCAGTGCCCACACACCAAAATGGGTCTCTTGATTCCTTGCCCTCACCTCCTCCCCTAGGCTTTCCCAGCTGAGAAAAAGGCACTGATACCCACACAGTTGCCAAGCCAGAAAGTTTATTTAAACATTTTTGTTCCAGTATTGTATAGCCCACAGAGCAAAAAGAGCATAAAGCACATGCATCTGATGTGTACAGTTCAACCAACTTCTACTTATGAATACACCGTGTAACCACCTGGATCATTTCCAAGATGCCAGAAGGTTCTCTTGTGACCCTCTGGGAGTCATTGATTTCTTGTTTTTCACTCTTGCTATTCTTCCATAATTTATCCCGAGCCTTTTCATTTTTCTTCATTTTTTCTGCTTTCACCATGATTATCTTTCACCTGGACGACTCCAGTAATGATCTCCCCGCTTCTACTTTCACCAATTCATTATCTCTACAGAGTCATCTTTTAAAAACTACAACACTGATCATTTCATCCCCTTCATCCTTAATCTCACCTTTACACTTAAAATAAGAGGGCAATGGAATGCATTATTAGGGCTTACAATGAACGCCTTTAAGAAATGGTCCCTGGCTGCCCTCCAATCTCATCTCCTCCGCTCTCTGCATCACTGCTTCCAGGTGTCTGAGTTTGTTGTTGGCTGGTTTTGGTTGTTGTTGCTGCTGCTTCTTTGAGCTCCTGTAAAATGCCCTTAAGGCCTTTTGCACACAGTGTTTCTTTGATATGAATGTTTTTCATCTTCTTTTTCTCTCCTCCCACCCCACTTCCATCCCACACTCGTGCCCATACTTACATATTGTCTTCACTTGGCTAGTTCTTTCTCATTCTTCTTTCTCAGTGTAAACATCACCTCTCCATAAAGTGTTTTCTTGCCCCTAACCTAAAAGACAGTTTTCAATGACTCTCAGAAAGTCATGTCGCTTTTCTTTATAGCACTGAGCACAGTTTGCAATTTTTATATTTAAGCGTTGCTTCTAGTTGTGTATCACCTAACCTCTGCTAACTGAGGTCCTTAGGGAGGAACCAAAGATGTTATTTGAATCCTGTGTCCTTAACAACTAGCACTGCACCCAGTATACAAGAAGTACTTAGTAAATAATTACTGAATGAAATAAATAAGTGAATGGCTGTGTGCTTGTCTCTGAGAACCGTGCGAACAGGAAAAACTGAGCAGAAACAGAGGATGATGTAGACAGTGCTTTTGAGAAAAGGTTTGCCATGAGAAACATTTTTTTTTCTCTCAACTGCATGTATTTCAGAAATGGACCCTGGAAGATGTCCATTTTCCTGAGCCCAGCATTACTCTGAGACAAGCATGTCCTCCTAGGATATCCCCGGAGAAGAATTCAGCAGTTATAAGTCAGTTTCTCTCATGGTTAACTCATGTGTCCATTCATCACCGCAGTCCATCTCATTCCATTGGGTTGGGGCACCACCTGGGGCAAGATGTTTGCAGACAACTCACTGGTTTGTTTCTGTAATTCCTATAGACTTGGCAGATGACCTGATTCCTGGAACATGGTGCAAGCTGAAAGCAGGGGATGGGGTGGAGTGAGGAGGCTTAAAAGAGAGATGGTAGGAAATCTTTTGGGGCAAGAATATAAGGTTGTATTCTATGTGAGTAGTGAATTTTTAATTTTGTTTTTTTCCATTGCAGTTCACTTCAGATCATCTCAAGCCATAGTAAAATGTTAAATACCATAACCTGGTGTTTGCTGTACTTTGGGCATTTCGAAGTGGATACTCGTTCAATGTTTGGTGCCTAGCCATATAAGGCAGAAGGGCAGCAACCCAGAGCAGTGTTATGATGTGGAAAGAGGTATCCAACAAAGATGTTCAGAGCGGCAGATCAGAACAAGAGCTGACAAATCGCTACAGGATGGATTTGTCTAACATGTCAGCATTCCTTAGGATTTACAGAAATACAAGGGGGAGAGAGCTGACTTCCCATGGCTGTACAGGATAGGGCACATTCCATGTCAGTTGGTATTAACGAGATGAGTGATCCCCGAAGCCTAGAGAACATGGGGACATTTGGGTTACCCTCTTTGGGTCACATGGCTTAAAATTCTCCCATTTAGACATTCCTACCTCAACGTATACTACAACTCAGAAAAAATCTACTATATTTAGGGCTTTAAATCTTTTTTAAAAAGTAAAAACCCTGGCTGAATTAACTGGGTCATCCATCTGGTACACTTTGGATTGAATCAGCACAATTTTCTATCTCAAAACTCCTAAAGTGATCAGCCAACTTAGGAAATGGGAAATTCAACGGATGTGCATGGAGGTAGTGTAGAGAAAGGTCATTTTTGCCCCTGGTGGCCTGTCAGAATATATATGGGAGTGACAGAGTTAGGCTTTTAGGAATCCTAGTTACAAAAGGAAACAACGTTTAGGGTGTGGAGCAGTGAGAGAAGACTGGAGTATGAGAAGTGAGACACTGTCAAAGGGATATTCTGCTGACTTGCAATTTTGCTTCTACTATATTCAATCATCTTTAAATGAGTCAGCAACGTAATTGGAAGCAGTTGCTAAAATAGCCAAATAAAATAATCAGCCCTGTCCATTTGAATATTTTGGAGGGGTGAGAGAGAAAGAGAGAACATTTATAATACGTGGCTTTCCACACCACTGCTCAACCAATTTCACCTGAATTCTGAATAATAAAGATGGGATTGTTTTACTGGCTTTGTGGGATAATTGGCTCAAATCATCTGTGTATTTCATGGAATATTATGCCTTGATCTAAGAGAAAATACTTAAAATATTTATTTTCAAGTAGAGATGACCACGTGTGTCATTCCTGGCTGAAACATGAATGCAGCAAAAACAGGCTGTAACTCTATATTCATGATTTAGGATAGAAGCTGACATTCTCGGGGACTTATGTTGTGCCAAGCCCTGTGCTAAGAACTCGCCTGCACATTTCATGTCATCCCAGCAACAATCCTTTGAGATTGGTACCATAATGATCCCCTTTTCCACATATGAGGAAAGAGATGCTCCAAGAGGTTCCCTAACCTACCCAAGTCCTCACTGCTAGGAAGGAGTCAGACCAGAAGTTGGGCAGCTCTGTTTGAGTCCAGAACCCATGATCTGCTCACTATGCAATACTACTGCAGCCAGTCAGTAGCAGCAGCCATCACTGCTATGTTTCCTATGGATGCAGAGTAAAATGAATGAAAGAACAACAGGGTCTCTAGTGTTGGAAATATTAGTCAAGAGATTTGTAGTTCATTCACATATTGCCAACTCCAATTTTGATATCCGATTATAGCAGAGTTGTGGAACAGTGGCTGAAACCAGGAGTCAGCATCTGTGGTGCTGGCCTTGGCTCCTGCTATGAGTCCTTGGAAAAATCATTTAGGCTACCTGGATCCAAGTCTGTGAAATGAAGGGGTTAAACGATCTTATAAGTAATAAAGCTTTTCCAGCTCTAACATTCCAAAAGTCTTAAAGTCATGAGAATATGAATCTTCCTCCACCCTCCCAGCAAATGGGATTAATTTTCAACATGTTCTGTGGCACACTCCAAAGTTGCCTGCCCAATGACGTAACCCAACATCAATGTAGGTCTTGTAAATGGACTTTGGCCGAAGGAAAAGAAAATCACACCAGCTGGCCGCTTGGCAGCAGACGAAAACTTGCAAAAAGGTGGGCAAGAAAACACTTTGCTACCATTGCTCCAGCCTGTTTTCATCCAATGTATTTTCTCTCACAGATTGTCTGAAGGTGCAAGCCTCCAGGATTTCTAGGTGGAAATTGCATCGTGCCTGGTTATAGCTCTTCCAGTGGCCTGTCTTCTGGACTTAGCAATTCCCTCAAGCAGGAAAGTTTGTTAAGAAGTGGAAGAGTGATTTGCATGTATATGTGTTTATTTTTCACAAATACTTTTATAAGTGCTGAGATATGGGGTTTGATGCTCTCCTAAATCGGGTTGCCTGATGAAACACAGGGTTGAAGTTAAATTTAAATGTCAGGTAAATTAGGAATTACCTGGGCTATCCTTATACTAAAAAATTATTCCATATCTGAGTTTTTATTTGATAAATAGAGCAGCCTTACTCATGGAAGAAATAATATTTTATTTAGCTTTTTGATCAAATGTGTCATAAGCTGGAACATTGATAATTTGGACTTGCAACTATTACTTTCCCCATTTCAATACTCTAGTGTTAAGCATCTGCCATGCTGTCGACGTGCTTTCAGTGGGTGTGTTTTTGTTTAAATTTCTGAGGTTATAAGTTTCTTCTTTTTAAAGGAACACACACATACACCCACCATGAAACTCATTCATAAAATCAAAGAGATCCTACGCATTGATATGAGGACTTCTAAAGAATGTAGCATATTTTGGCTAACATCTGTGACTGTGTTCTTTGAACTAATTGGGAAATATTGCATGCTGGCAGGCTTTAATCGAGAAATATGTTTTCTTTTAAGGGTGATTTGTCTAATTGGCTGTAGAAATTCTTTCTCTCTGCTTCAGAAAGCTTTTTGCCCATTTGCTAATAATTCAGCTTCCCCACCCTTCCCCCACTCCAAGGCTGATGTTACACAGGGTTCCCTGAACTCTGTTCAGAATTCTGTCTTTAAGCAGGACAAGGGTTCAGACCTGAATCAACTCGAAACAAGGCATTTCACCTTTCTGCTTGCAATGACCTCCTTTAGACAAGGTGTTGGAAGAGATGATCTCTGAAATTCCATAGTCTACCGTTTCTGATCCAAAGTAGGGAATGGCCTGGGGAGTGGGAGGAGGATAAATCAAGAAAGTATAAAATAGGGTGTTAGTTACAGTTTTATTTCAAAGTTCTCCTAACCTGGGCCCTTTGGGTACAGTGAGACTAGGTTGCCCCAAAAATCTGTGTGAAAAAAAACAACTTCTGTCTGTTTCTTAAATGCCTTCTGGATTCCGAAGAATTTAACATTTTGCTATAAAAACATAATATTTAGCTATAATATTAGAGACTCCAAAAATTTTGTCTGTATCGTCCTAAATATCAAGGTTTTGAATGCATCTTAATGTGTGAGGAAAATTTTCAAGTTGATGCTTGGCAAAGGAAAGGTGAAATCCAAGAGGTCACACAAATGAACAGAGAAGCTGGTTCAGGTGACTGTATTAATGTGGAGAGCCAGACAATTGGCTAGGTCAGGAAGCCGAATGAGTCATACTGACTCATACTTTCATACCACTGCAAAGACAATGCATATGGAAGGACTGCGTGATCTGTTCTCAGACTAGATTCATTTCTAGTTTCATAACCTTCATTGCCCTTAACACAGCAGACAGGACACTGATGTCATCGGCAGGATGCTACAGAAAACAGGTGAAAATAAACATTGATGCCCTTCCTCCGCCAAACAGTCAAACCCTGAAGAAAAGAGGAGGTGCGAGTCTCATTATTTCCTTTCGAAGGGTAAAAATCTAGGTTACTTTTTCCAAACATTCATTTTGGTGAGAAAATCGGTTTGATTTCTAACTCAGAGACTCATGTTTGATGTTACTGCAAAATAGTTAAATGCATAGAATACCTCCTAGAAAGAAAGATTCCACACTGCTACCTATACGGGAATGATGTGTAACTCATGTTTCATCTAAAAACTCAGCTTTTTATTATTTATTTATTTATGGGCTAAAAAGTGCATGGCTGAAATATCCATTTAAGATGTAAACCTTTGTCACAATAACTGTTCTTCCACCTAGTGAAATCCCAAATATTCCTTTTTTAAAAAAACTGCAGGCCAGGCACGGTGGCTCACACCTGTAATCCTAGCTCTTTGGGAGGCTGAGAAGGGCAGATCACGAGGTTAGGAGCTCGAGACCAGCCTGACCAACATGGTGAAACCCCATCTCTACTAAAAATACAAAAAAAAAAAAATAGCCGGGCATGGTGGCACGTGCCTGTAGTCCCAGCTACTCAGGAGGCTGAGGCTGAGGCAGGAGAATCGCTTGAACCCGGCAGGTGGAGGTTGCAGTGAGCCAAGATCGTGCCACTGCACTCCAGCCTGGGCGACAGAGCGAAACTCCATCTCAAAAAAAAAAAAAAAAAGTGCATAGAGTATATTTGACTCAGCCCTCTCCTAAGAAATGGAGAAAAAACAAAATTCATGGAAAAGGATGCTTCTTGGTGGAGAGGACATGCACTGGACAGATTTACTACTGGGAGAAGTAGCTTTGAGAGGCTAAAAAGTCATCCTTACAGGTCCCTGCCAGGTGTTGAAATCACTTCTGATTGAGATTTGTCTAATTTTTCATGACCCCTCTCTTCCCTTTTCTTCATTGAAAATAACAGCAAGTTGTTTAAAAGGCATAAAACTTGCCACTTCAGGAGGAAACAAATATCTCTAGTTCATTCCAATTATCATTTATTAATTACTACATGAGTGGTTTGTTTAGTTTAGTCTTCAGCGTCTCTGGTAATTTCCTTTAGAGAGTCAAGCTAAAATTTTTTAACAAGCAAATAGCTGATTTCCAAATAAGTGTGTTCCTATGAACTTTTTCTGTTTCATTAGTGTTCAAAAGATGTATCTAATGCAGTTTTTAAAATAAATGTAAGTTTCTGATATCTGATTTGTGCTGAATTTTTCTCTTTCTTTTAAGGATAATCCCCTATCATATCCCCCACAATTTAAACCTAATCAACCTAAGGAAAAAGAAAAGAGAAAAAAATAGCATTGCATTTGCCTTATGGATCTTTTCAGGTACTTACTACAGGGGTCAGAACTCTATGAGGAAGCCATGTTTTCTCAGCATTGTCACCAGTTAGCTTTGTTTGACAAATGAAATTAGAAACAATGTGAACACAGTTCTTCTAATAGTTCATAAATTCTTAAAAAAACAATGACAATTTCAAAGGATTTTTATTTGAATGTTTTAAGTTTGGCATGGTATTGAACTTTTAAAGTATAGACTTGCATATTCTTTATTAGCTAAACCAGCCATGACTCTATAATTGTAAAACCCCGAAACATTCAGGGTGAACCCAATAGGAAGAAAAACAAAAAACAGCCGCATTAAACTTTGTCTTTATTGCATTTATTTATTATTACCAGATACCAGTGGTATTAATGTATCACCAGTGGTGATAGAATTATGAGACTATGATACAATTATGAGACTATGTCTAAGGAGAACAATGCAGTAATTTGATAAATAAGAGATTATTGAAATTAAGTAAGCCTAAAAAGCATTTAAATGGTGATATTAATATTTTAAAACAAATGATAGCCAAGCCAGCAAGAGATTTATAGTTATAAATAGATATCTGTTTTACATGTATCTTTGTTCTGAAAAATTGGGATAATTACTAAAAAGTTTCTAGGAAAATAAGTATATTAGTCAGATACCAACAAGGTAAAGTGGAAAACCAAACTAGTTATTGACTTGAATAAAGTCATTCTATCTTCTACCTCCAAGAATAAAAACAAAAGCATATAAACATAAGCATAAAAACATAAGCATATAAATACAAATACCAAATTTACATCTCAATCATCAAACATTTCCAGAAGATAGATATTTTTGAGGGCGTAGTGTTTATCCTTGTTTAAACAGGAAAATAAATGGCCTTTGAAATAAAAATGAAGTGCTTTATTTCTCATAAAAAACATTCTTGTGATGACCAGAAGAAAGCTACTGACTAAATTCAACAAAGATTCAAATATTTCATGACACTTCTAGGTCACATTCACACATATTTTCATTTGCTTTTCTACAATAAATTCAAGTGTGTAAATATGGAGTTAGCATGAAAGCCTGATGAAAAACTAGGTTTTCAACTTTATATTGCTTTATGTACTTTCTCCTCTTGATAATTGAAAATTCACTTTTGCAATTTACATTTCAAATCTATTAACAGAATACAAACTGCTATACCTACATTATTACATGCTCTCTTTCCTACCCAAGTAACTCTAGCTTCCCTAAATTTCTCACATTCTTCTGAATAAAAAGAGTCAGGACTAACTATGAGGGAGAAATGATCATTTTTGCTTTTACACCTTGACTTGAATAAATTTTCTGAATAAATAATTAGCAAATTAGAAATTCAGTTTGAATGATCTTGGTTTCCACCTTAGGGTCATCCTCTGAAACACACACTACCTGTACTTCATTCTCCATTTGATCTCTGTCTGTCCTTCATTTGGATAATTTCAGTAATGCACATAATGAAGACAATCCTCTCCCTCTCTTATCTTGTTAATTTTCAAACTTTAGAAGTCTGCCATATTGACATTAGTAAGTCCTAGCTTTGTATGCAGTTTGATCTCATTCTGGCTTCAAGTTATGTTAAACATCCTAGAGGCACCCAGTTCTTGTCGCTCTGGAAGCCCTGGGTATAATACAGTGTCTCAAGTCTCTTCTCATGTACCCCTGCTTTTCTCTTTCTGCCCCCCCAAAATCAGAGAAATTCTAAACAAGATTATGTCCCCTTTTGAACTAAAATTGGCTTATTCCTACAAATTCCCTTCTTTTCTTTTCTTCAGACGTTAGCATCCTCTGTGTTTATTATGCTCCAGTGTTACATCCCTTCCAATTTATTTACAACCCATTAAAAGCCAAACATTTGGAAGCAAATCCAATGTAAATATTGGAAGGATTCCTGGTTCTAATTGAGATATATTGACTTAGTCTTCACATACTCAAAGCATGCATTTTAGCATTTTTCTTTTCTTTTTCCCTGTGGATTCTATCTAAACTGCACAAACACACACACACACACACACACACACACACACACAATCAATTTTAAAAAATAGGTCTGTGCTCAAGCAGGAATCGTCAAAATAAAAGTAGACTAAAGTCTTTGAAGAGAGGCCTTAAGAGCACACTGCTCCGCAATGTCACTGGTTTCAGAATGGCTTTAGGGCTCCGAAACTGAAAAGAAAAGTTTCTTCTTTCCGATTACAAAAGTAGTAAATGACTGTGAAGAGAATTTTGAAAATGCAAGGGAAAAATATCAAGCAAAAGGGAATTTTATGTACAATCTCACCACTAGAGAAAACCACTGTTTACACATTACTGTATTTCCCACATATGTTATGGCAATAAAAAAATGTAATCACTCTAGATAATTTATATCCAGCTTATATTTTTCCTCTTAGTACTTCATAATGAGCATTACATTTACATGCTCTGAAAACACATGTAAACCATGGCATATATGTATTGGCATTCATTTAGCCATGCTAGGAACTTTAAAAATCTATTCTTCTGCCTAAGAAAATAATTTCTTACATGTATGTAGTTCTCAAAGGGCTTTCAGATACTTTACCCAACTTAGACCCTCAACAGATAAGGAAAGATATTATTGTCATCTCCATTTCACAGATGAGGAACTGAGTCCTGGAAGATTTGTACCTGGAGACCAAGATGAGAGGGATCTGGGCCAGGGCCCATGGGTATCTACTTCACCATTGCTAGTGGTGGTAGAAGCAGAGGAAAGCCGATGATGACCAAACCGGAAGGTTACAAACTGATCTGAGCACATGCACAATCTCTCTCTTCATGTTCCTTGCTTCGATTAATGGTGCCTCCTAGGATCTAAAGTTGAGTGTCATCTTTAAGAAATCCCCTTTCTTTATGCTAATATTGAACAGCAGGAAAGGTAAGTCTCTGTGGCTCACAGGAAAATTCTAAACTCTGTGGCCTGAAATTAAAGCTGTCTGTGGTCCAGACCCTGCCACCTCTCCCGCATCCACCACTATACACCTGATGCAAATTTTTCTCCAAGTATGGACTGTATTCCCTTCACAACAGAATCACTTGTGATGATGGTTCATGATAGGTTCTGGGGGCTCATTCAGACCCACTGAAATATAATTTCTGGAGGTGGACATGAGAACCTTTCATTTTAAATAGTTTAGGATTCTTAAGTACTAGAATGCAGCTATATTCCAGGCAAACTGAACCACTCTCTTTCTTAGTATGCCCATATTCCCCACCCTCTGTGCTTTTCTCAAATGTTTCCTCCCTTCACTTTCTACATGTTCAACTCTTGCTCACTGGCATGGTTTGGCTGTGTCCCCACTCAAATCTCATCTTGAATTGTAGCTCCCATAATCCCCACGTGTTGTGGGAGGGGCCTGGTGGAAGGTAATTGAATCATGGGGGTGGGTTTTTCCATTGCTGTTCTCGTGATAGCGAATAAGTCTCATGAGATCTGATGGTTTTAAAAAGGGCAGTTCCCTTGTACACTCTCTTGCCTGCCACCATGTAAAACATGCCTTTGCTCCCCCTTCACCTTCTGCCATGATTGTGAGGCCTCTCCAGCTATGTAGAACTGTAAGTTTATTAAAACTCTTTTTCTTTATAAATTACCCCATCTCAGGTATGTCTTTATTAGCAGCATCAAAATGGACTAATATACTCACTCCTCAAAGCCCAACTGAAATGCCACCTCTATGAACAGCACTACCTGGGTGGCACCATCTATAAATGACCTCTCCTTTTTCTGAGCTCCTATGCACTCACTACTTATTGGAGGAACCCACATTGCTCACTCTCCTACTGTATTTTAGAAGCTGCATTTACTGGGTAACTCTGTCACATATCTTTAAATTAGTTATGAAACTTATGGAAACATTTTTTATCTGGAGGAATTATGATGCCTCTACTTGCGTTCAAGAGTCTTAATTTGCACACCTTTGGTCATTCTCTTTGCATACACAGACATTCAGCTGGAACCTGAGTCAAGAATCTTCATGAAGAAGGAATGGTTCTACATCACTTCTTCTCAAAGACTGCTCATGGATGTTTTAAGAAAATCCAGGCCAGCTATCACGAGCAGCAGGGGAAGTGATTCATAAAAGTAGACTGTGACTTGGAGCAGAGCTCACAAGTTCAAGTTTATGTAGCAGCCAGGCAGATAATGTAAGTGAATGAAGGCGATTCAGAGCAAGGTGCTAAATAGCTTCAGATATTAGACTTTATATTTGGGCACAGTAGAGGCCATGGTGGTCTAGGGGGGCCTGCGCTGTGCAGAGAGTCAATAGATTCCACCTAATCATCACCAGTCACGACTGCAGGCCCAGTGTTGCCAGATACTCATTTTTAAGAGAATCCATAAATTGATTTTTGTGAGACAGCTCCTGATTTTTTAATATTGACAACTAATTCAAATTTAAAACACCAGGTAGGCAGTGCAGGCCAACACATTTACAGGTAATTTATTTCATGCAGCACAGTGCCATAAACCAGGATTTTACAACTTTCTCTTTTCCTGAATCACTGTTAGAGTCAGCGCCTTCTATCTTGAGAGTCTGAGGGGAAGGTAGAAATGATTTCAATCCAGTTCTCCTTCCAGTCAGAAAAAAAAAAAAAGTGTTTGGCAGGCCTTAGATTTGGATATTCCAGAAATTCTGAGGAAGAGCTAAGCCAAGTATAGATGCTGTAAATGGGCCCTGACTCCAGGCTCTGAGTCCCTGAGAGCGAGAGATGGGGTACAGTGTTGGGGGGTGGTGGGGATTAGGGTAGAGCAGGCTGCATATGTGGCTTAGTCATATCTCACTCTCACGAGGTGTGAGTAATTAAGGAACCGCATGCTGCTTCTACTGTCAGAAGTACAGGCTCATGGGAACCAGTTTGAAGCAGGCCGGGTGGGGTAAACTAAGGTGGCTCTGACACTTTCTGACTTCAAGCTGTGGCCTTAGGACCTTGATTGTATTTTTTAGCTTTGATGATAAAATGTCAGTGACTAGTTAGGGCATTGTTATTTTATAATTTATAAAATTATTTTATAATTTGATTGACATAAACATTGTCAGTGTAAGTGATGCGCATTTACTAGCTCATTGGTGACATTTGTGAAAGAAAATGTTTTGTGGGCCTTTTAAGCCCAGGGAATCTCAGGAAATCAGGGGGAAGAATTGCTTTCAGTTTGTTTGATGTCTGTAATTAGAGGTCATTAGGGGAGTTCCTGTTCTCTTAAGGGTTGTCACCTCTGTTTTCTGTGGCCACATACAGAGGCAGCTGTAATTTGCACAAGGTCAGTCAGGCCTGTCCCCTAAGTGACAGTGGTAATAAGTGATGTGTGTAGTGAGTGCAGTTAAGTTTGTGTGTGGTGCCATTACTACCGGAGCCCTTCCTTCCACAGTATCTGACCTCCTCAGAACACAGCTCACCTATGCTCAAGGGTCCCTTTCAGGTCACTAGGCTTGGCCTCACACATTGTCTTTCAGATTAGAAGGGGTCCAGGGCAGCACAGTGCAGTTCTGGCAGGCTCGGGGTCTCACAGGAGCCTCGGCACTAAATCTCATACCCGAGTTAAGCAAGCCTCAGCTTTCTCATTCCATTTTTGAACTGTGTGCCCCACATGACATGCCAGGGAAACATGGCACATAGCTAAATTAAGCTGAGTAGCCAACCAAATCCTGTGTGCCTGCCTATGCTGAAGAGAGAGGCACTTAATTGCTCTACCTCATAAACCTGGGACCGGCCGCACGAGCCAAGGGGCAGGTACAGGGGAAACTTGACAATCGCCTGGTAGTTGTCATAACCTGACTTGCATTTTGAGCGCTTGACTCATCCTGACATTAGCTGAACAACTGAGTGTCTGTTTCCTTTGTGGTTGCCTGGACGATTAAGATGCCCATTATTTTTAATAAAATAAAATAAATACACATATATTTAATACAATAAATATAATAATAAATTTAAATTTTAACAAAATGCAATTAAATAATAAAAATAAAATACTATTTTTGATAAAATGAAATGTATTAAAAATCTTATTTTCAATCAAATCAGAAATTTTCTGGGAAATTCTTACATATCAACTATGTTCTCTGCAGAGCATCTAGTTAAGTGGCAGCATGAACCAGTTTATTAAGGAGCATCACAGGACAAGGAACTTCTGTCTGGCAGAAGTAACCTCAGTCTGCTCCTCTCACCTTTGAGAGAGAAGACTGGCCAGTTTTGTTTATTTTTTTTTTGTCTCATAAGTGAACGTGCTGCATATTTCACAGAGGGCAGAAAAGAGGAAGCTCATATTCCTCTGGACACTACGAGGCGCTAGGGCTTAGAGCCCATGTGTCACTGTGGGTGGGAGGCATGATTCAAAGCCTCTGTCTTCCTAATCATTAACAAATGTCCTCTCTCCCAGGAGGGAGAGTGCGAAACAATGAGGACGTGTGAGAAATAGCTCTTAGCTGGCCTGGGAGCTCGAACCTGGGTGCACATCAAAACGAGTACCACAGACGCTTCAATGCCAAGCCTGCTGCTCTGAGATGTCCAAATGCCCGGCTGGTGAGGTGAACAGTGGCCAAATGGATTCCAGAAATCTCATGGGAACAGTATCTGCTGCTGCGGCTTCTCTGTGGCTCTTTCGAACCCCTGGTACATAAAAATGGTGGGAAAAGATAACTTTTCAACCACCAGGGTAAGACGTTTACATAGGTCCTAGGCTAACCATTCAGGCCACATGCTTTTATTGTGTTCTACCCCACCCCACCCCCACCCCTACAATATCTGTAAGTGTAAAGAGCTACACCCTTTCACAACATTCTCTCACTCTTTCATCAAATATTCTTAAGCCCTTCATATCCCAGCAAAACTGGCATGTGGCTGCTGAAGTCGGCGGCTACTGAAAATTAGTAAATAGTGGTTCAGTAATCGACCTATGAAGTGTCTGTTCTGACCACAAGTTTCAACTACCCAGAGCGACAAGGGTAAACACAACAGACTGGGCATTAAGCCTGGGTTAGTGGTTTTCCATGAAGCCCTACAGAAGAGTGACAGGGCTGCCACAGGGAACCGAGTAGAAAGGCAAAGTTCTGGAACCCCCAAGCCCACTTTAATCAGAACAACCCTGCTTAGCACTTTCATAATTGTTGCTGAGTGTTGTTTTAATATATATTGGACTTAGGTGCAGGTTATCATTTAAGAAAAAGGAAGCCTAAACAATACCTGAGTATTAAAAAGAAGTTATAACTTCTTTCTGCCACCCTCCAACTCCCACCTTCTACAAATGATACACTACAATATAGAGACAGCAAAGACACTTGGAATTAATCATGGTTATTTGGAATTATTTGTAGTTTCTGAGTCATCACCTATATGCTAACTACTAAAAAGTACTATTTTTGGCCCCAATACAATTTTCTCAACACATTTGAGCACTTACTATATACAAGACACTCTGCTAGGTGCTGGGAACAGAAGTAACACACCCACTAGGTATCAGCTGCCTAGGGATAACTCAACTTCTATTGCCTTAGTTAGTTTAAACCAAACTTAGCATCTTTCTCACTTTCCTTTTTACTGCTTCAGCTACGCTTATCCAACATATACCAAGCTGGCTTTCCCTAACTATTTACAGAAGTGTCAATTTATGTGATCATTTTTTATACTTTGTTTTCTTTTGTTGCATGAATCACTTCTTTCAGATTGACTTCATCTTCTTGTCCTGATATAGTACTTTAATAGTTTATACCTGCATTACAATCCTCACTAGATGTTTCTTCATAGCAGACATCTGTGGAAGAGCTGTAATGGCATTAAGGTTGAAGGGAGGGGAAGAGTATACAGCCCTTCTGAAAGAGTAACATTCACCAACTCAGAGCCAGAGGAAAGGAGCCCAGGGTCCCCTGAGTGGTAGGGGAGGAGAGTCAAGATCCCTTGTGGGATATGTGGGACCAGGAGACCAACTTCCTCCCGTTCCATGGTGGCAACCTCTCCAGTAGCCAGGAGGAATTTGATGAGAATTTGGTGTCTCAGCACTGTTCTTGGTAGCAAGTGACCCAGAGAAACAACTATTCTGGCATTTTGACCCAAGTCCTTAATAGTACCCCTCTAGTGCCATCTTTCATCATATCATCCTTCAAAGCTCTGTTGAAGCTATATTTCCTCCCCCAAAACACTCCCTCTAATGTTGCCATTTCCTGACTTCTTTCCCACCCGGTAACTGTATTTGGCAGGTAGCTTCCCCCTTCACACTGCTCTAGACTTTCATTTACTTGGCATTTTGTAATGGGTATTCAGTGCAGGCTTTTTACTAATTGCTTAATTGTCTTTCAAGGATATCAGACAGCAAACAAGGCCTGCCTTTCCTTTTTTGTCCTTCCGTGCTAGATACATAGAGATATCCGAGAAATATGAGTTGCTAGATTAATTTGTGCTCAACCCATTAATTTAGGGGGGAATAGTATATAGGGGGAATAATATATAGAGAATCTGGCCTTTGCCATATATTGACTAAACCCATGTGCATATTGAGAAATACTGAAAAGCTTTTCTATAAGTGAGGGACTAGCCATCAGCAATAAAATCTACTTAAAGATTCTTCGTGATCATGTTTTGTTGATTAGAGTTTGCTTAGAAATATTTACTAGTCATGTGTGTGTGTGTCATTGCTTCTTACATTACTCTTGAAGAGTTTCTTATGACAGTAAAAGTCTCAGAATTATTTATGTTGTCTTTGAGAAGTAGCCCAATGCATTCATTCCTTTTCTTTCATTTATGTTTAGATCTTGTATGCAGCAAACTGAATATGAAACTCCTGTCACTGCAGAAATAATAGAAACATCTTTCCATGGCTTTGACTTTCTTCCAAGGGATGACTGGGACATCACAACAGAGGAACACGGTCATGACCTTTAATATTCCTCTTTAATGGGGTGGATGGTAGGAGGAATTTCAGGGAATGATATGCCAAGTAACCCCCACTGAGTGCTCTGAACTCATGAGTTTTGTAGTCTTTCAAGTTAGATGACTCTATTTTGTAGACTACAAAATAATATATTTATTTATTGCAAAAAAAAAAAGTCCCTTATGAGAAATGTGACTGGGGACTTAATCTGCAGTCTAATGCTGATAGAAGAAAACTTTAATGAGGATTTTGTGGTCCAATTGTTTCTTTCACTACTTCAGAATGTTTTCGGTCACACAGGGTTAAGATAATGGCCATCAGGCCATTTCATTCTTCACATTTCTGGTCAGAGATAAATGAGAATATGCTTCCCTGCTGTGCAAACATCCTTTTTATTAATACTGGGTGAACAAGAATGTAAGCACATTTGGCTGCAGAGAAAACTAACAGAATTGGAAATGCAGAGTATTAAAGCTCAGAGTCTAAGATCAGGCTTTCAAAGTACAGGTGGGTAAAAAAAAAAAAATGTGTTACAGAATAAGCAGCAAAGCTGAAACAAAAATGGCTCAGCATAATAAACCTGTAGTGTGACACCAATGGGTTCCACTGGTATACCCAAGGGACCAGGACATGTTTTACTCTTGTAGAAAATAGTTATCAGGCTGGACACAGTGGCTCACTTCTGTAATCCCAGCACTTTGGGAGGCTGAGGTGGGTGGATCACAAGGTCAGGAGTTCGAGACCAGCCTGGCCAATATGGTGAAACCCCGTCTCTACCAAAAATACAAAAAGTTAGCTGGGCATGGTGGCGTTCATCTGTAGTCCCAGCTTCTCGGGAGGCTGAGGCAGGAGAATCGCTTGAACCCGGGAGGCGGAGGTTTCAGGGAGCCGAGATCACACCACTGCACTCCAGCCTGGGCAACAGAGCAAGACTCTGTCTCCCAAAAAAAAAAGGAAAAGAAAAGAAAATTGTTATCATACCTCAGAAATGAGGACAGCTCACACTGTCTCTAAGATACAATAGTTAATGGGTGCTCATACCATTCATCTGATCTTATAACACTCATTACTTATACAGACATTTGACAATAAACCCCTAGGTGTCTTGTGACACATATTCTCATATATCATAACTTAGCTCTTAAATCACTGTTTTATTTTATACTATTTATGGCATATCTTCCTATGTAGAGTCTAAACACTTTAAAGTCAAGGACTGTGCCTGCTTTATTCATCTGGGGGAAAGAAAAGTCCTTAAACCTTAAACACAGTGTAACTGCCTTTGAATAAATGCTCTTTGGATTCTAAACTAGTGAGAAAAGACATACATGTTTCTACTTCTGTTCACGTGCATGTGCATAGATGTAGAATGCATGTGCAAGGTAGTCTCTGCCTATGCATTCTAATACCAGCCAAATACATGAAACAACCGCCAACCAGTCAGGCAAAGGACCAAACCTAAGAGGGTTGCTCAAATTTTGGAACAGTTGTCCTTTCCATGCAAAAAAAAAAAAAAAAAAAAAAAAAAAAAGGACATGTAGCTAGCTTCTACATTACTAGGCCAGCCTCCCTGCCCTAAAGATCAGCTTGGACTGAGTGGAAATTAGATTGAATATAGATTCAGTGGTATAAATACTGCACCTGGGCAGAAATGAGAGCATACAGGTTTCCAAATAGGAGAATTCAGCCCATTTTTCACCTAGACATTCTTTGAAGCTTCAGAAGTTTCATTTAATCAGTGGGAAATGAGAATTCTATAGATTCATAAAAACATGTAGTTCCTATTAAATCATATTAACCATGTTCTCTTTGAAAGATAGCTCACGTTAAAACTACAAATGCCCACCTGTAACCACCAATTTCAGCGATAAAATCATTAATGGCCATTGACTTTCTAGGAATAAAGCAATGTGTTCAAAGTAGACCTTATAATTACGAGAATGTGCTGTAATCAAGTCTCCATATCCAGAAAACTGAAGGAAAAAAGGATCATTTGGTGGAGAAAGGGTCTTGACTCTTTTGATTTTGCAGGACTTTAATAATGTTGGCTCAGTTTGACTTCTCAAGGCTGGAACATGACCAATACATTAGCAATGCTGATTGGCTTTGATGAGAGGTTTCTGAAAAGAAATACATGCATAGAAGTAAATGAAAACCTTAAGCAAAACTTGGTTTTCATAGGTCAGCTATCTGGATTTGAAAACATAATCCTACCTGATCATTCTCTTTGTTCATTTGTCTGTGTTTTCTTTGTTCTCTTTCCCCCTCCTGCTTTCGCTCTCATCTCTTTATTTTATTCTTCCTTTTTGTAATATGCTTCTCTTAGAATAAGATTTTCATCTTCAAATGCTGCATTTTCAAGAAAATGTCGAATTTTTAAAATACAATAAGCTGATTTGCAATCAGTGAATGTACACGGGTGCAGGATAGGCTTTGAATTGTGCTCACATCCCACTGATGTGAATGGGGACATGCAGGAGCCCCGTCTTTGTAGACTTCTGGCAGTACAAGGATAAGTAACAAAATAAAGAAAGACTCTCTATGAGCAGTGTGATCTGCAAAGATGAGACAGAGACCCTGGGATCTGAGTGACTGTGAAATACCCCTAATGAACTCTCCCTCTCCCTTCCCTCTGAGCTCCCTTCCAGAGTAGGGAAGCCTACTCAGCAAGCCATCACGCTTGAAAGTGCGGCAGTTGGAAGAGGAAAGACAAAAGTCTGAGGCTGAAGGGAGATTCTGAATTAGTGATGAGCTGCTGCATCCCACATGCGGAGGCTTCTTTCAATTCCTGGGGAAAGTGTTTTATTAAACACACCACACTCCTTTGCAGCGTCCTTCGTTAACTTTCTTTTTTGCTAATATGGTAGCTGGAAATAAGCAGATTGAGTTTTCTATTTATCTACGAGCTATGTAAACAGCTACTACCGCCCAGTGAGGCAAGCAGCAGGGTTATATTTGAAGAGTCTTGTTATATTTATATTGAATCTGGCAAAACACTTATTGGCCGCATTCGGGGGCTGTGGAAGCTACTTACAAAAGATGTGTGCTGGAGGAAATTTGGACCTGGAACACATTCGGTGCAAATTTGATTTTATCTATTTTATCTTTCCACTATCCACACTTGATTTTTTTTCCTCTCTCTCTCGCCTGTGCTTCTGATTTTATTTTGATTTCTCCCCAGCGGTACTTATACAAAGATAACATAATTAATTAATTGGATCAGTTCAGAATGAAAATGCTTAAATTGATTATTTAGACTTATGGAACAAAAAGCAAAACAAAATACAGCACCAATACAACAACGACCCCGGCATTTCACTGGGGTTTCCCTCCTGATAGCTGTGTCCATGGTACTGGGAAACAGCCCTTTTTCAAATGTAAATTTTCAACATCAGAAATGATTGATCTGGACCCACCTTCCTGGAGCAGCCCATTCATACAGTCAGGCTCTTGCATATAATAAGCCACCTTCTGTGCAGCGAGCAGAACCAGGATTGGGGACCAGGGGTGAATTACCCACTGGAGATAATACACAGTAGCTAGTATTCCTGCCTGTAGAGATCAAGTGTCTGATGGTGGAGACCTGACAAATATCACAGGGACAATACACTTTTGTTTTTACAGCACACAGGTATACACACACACACACACACACACACACACACACACACTCTCATGGTAATTTAGAAAATAGATTGTTCTTGATAATTGAATATTCTGCCCAGTAAAATTTGTCCATTCTCAGATTCTCGATAAATTAAATACTGTAGAGTTTCAACATCCAATACTACAATTCTATGAAAATAATTTGGTCTCTCTGAGGATTTTAATGTTTATGGAAATTTTGTAGCATTTATTAGCTAAGTCCAGAAATAATTAAGGGAAAGGCAAGATGGGGCATGGGTTAAATCAGATTTCTTTTACTGTTGTAATTTTCTCACCAATGTAATTTTTGCAAAGGGGGTTTCAACTGGTGAAGTTAACATTGATGATCACTGATTAAGGTAGTGTCTTTCTGATTTCCTCAGCATGAAGTTACTATTTTCCCCTTTTAATACTGTCTTCTTAGTAAGGAAGTCACTAAGTCCAGTTTAAATTTAAGGAGAGAACAATTAAGCTCCACATTCTAGAGTTTTTTGTTTTTGAAATGTTTTTTGAAATTCTTTTGTAAGGAAGGTTTGTCACTTTCTCCCCATTTGTGTATTTATTTATTCAATGACTTATTAATATCAGTATAGATGCATATATATAAATACGTATATTTTATACTTTGGGTTGTAATCTAATACTAACTTAGTTTGTTATTCAAATTGTTCTAGCTTTGGCCTTGGGAAAAATAGTGTTGATGTGTACAATTGCAACAACTCTAAGAGTGTCTTTTGTAGCATGGCTCCAATAATTGTAGTAGTGAAGCGGAGTGAAAGTAAATTTTGAGCAAACATCTTTTTTTTTTTGAGACAGAGTCTCGCTCTGTTGCCCAGGCTGGAGTGCAGTGGTGCCATCTTGGCTCACTGCAAACTCCGCCTCCCGGGTTCATGCCATTCTCCTGCCTCAGCCTCCAGTCCCTGTAGCTGGGACTACAGGCGCCTGCCACCACACCCCCTAATTTTTTGTATTTTTTTCTTTAGTACAGACGGGGTTTCACTGTGTTGGCCAGGATGGTCTCGATCTCATGACCTCGTGATCCACCCACCTTGGCCTCCCAAAGTGCTGGGATTACAGGCGTGAGCCACGTGCCCAGAATGAGCAAATTTCTATAAGAGAAACTCCTAGAGTGCAGCCAGGATGTTGTACAATAGGTACCATTCAGTGGTGGAACAGCAAGCAGTTTGTGGTGACGGTTACTTTCACTCGCATCTGTGTGAAGAGACCACCAAACAGGCTTTGTGTGAACAATAAAGCTTTTTAATCACCTGGGTGCAGGTGGGCTGAGTCCGAAAAGAGAGTCAGCGAAGGGAGATGGGGTGGGGCTGTTTTATAAGATTTGGGTAGGTAAAGGAAAATTACAGTCAAAGGGGGGTTGTTCTCTGGCGGGCAGGAGTGGGGGTCACAAGGTGCTCAGTGGGGGAAGTTTTTGAGCCAGGATGAGCCAGAAGAAGGAATTTCACAAGGTAATGTCATCAGTTAAGGCAAGGACCGGACATTTTCACTTCTTTTGTGGTGGAATGTCATCAGTTAAGGCAGGAACAGGCCATTTAAATTTCACTTCTTTTGTGATTCTTCAGTTACTTCGGGCCATCTGGATGTATATGTGCAGGTCACAGGGGATATGATGGCTTAGCTTGGGCTCAGAGGCCTGACATTCCTGTCTTCTTATATTAATAAGAAAAATAAAACAAAACAGTGTTAAAGTGTTGGGGCGGCGAAAATTTTGGGGGTGGTATGGAGAGATACCGGGCGATGTTTCTCAGGGCTGCTTCGAGTGGGATTAGGGGCGGCATGGGAACCTAGAGTGGGAGAGATTAAGCTGAAGGAAGATTTTGTGGTAAGGGGTGATATTGTGGGGTTGTTAGAAGAAACATTTGTCGTGTAGAATTATTGGTGATGGACTGGATACGGTTTTGTATGAATTGAAAAACTAAACAGAATAAGAGGAGAAAAATGGGTATTAAAGGACTAAGAATTGGGAGGACCTAGGACATCTAATTAGAGAGTGCCTAAGGAGGTTCAGCATAGCCTTGCCAGCAGAGATTATTTATTTACTTTAAGAGTTAAGAGTGGCAGTTTGGGGATAGCACCAGGAGATATCAGCTGTGATGGCTTAGAGAAACAGTGTAAACTGGCAGTGTAAACAAGAGCAGGGCATGTATGAGTAGTTGAGAAAGGTGAATAGGAGTACGACTAGATAGAAGATAGTAGGGATGACAAGTTTTCTGGGGCACAGTCCAAGTTGGTCTGGTGTCTGGAATGAGACTGGGGCCTAATAAAAGGGAGCATCCATACAGGAGCTCAAATGGGCTGTACCCTGTAGCATTCCGAAGACAGGCCTGAATTCTGAGAAGGGAAAGTGGTAAAAGTATTGTCCAGTCCTTTTTAAGTTAGTGGCTGAGCTTGGTGAGGTGTGTTTTTAAAAGAACATTAATCCGTTCTACCTTTCCTGAAGACTGAGGACCGTAAGGGATATAAAAGTTTCACTGAATACCAAGAGCCTGAAAAAATGCTTGGCTGATTTAACTAATAAAGGCTGGTCCGTTATCAGACTGTATAGAGGTGGGAAGGCCAAACCAAGGAATTATGTCTGACAGAAGGGAAGAGATGACTGTGGTGGCCTTCTCAGACCCTGTAGGAAAGGCCTCTACCCATCCAGTGAAAGTGTCTACCCAGACTAAGAGGTATTTTAGTTTTCTGACTCGGGGCATGTTGAGTAAAGCCAATTTGCCAGTCCTGGGAGCGGGGCAAATCCCTGAGCTTGATGTGTAGGGAAGGGAGGGGGCCTGAATAATCCCTGAGGAGTAGTAGAATAGCAGATGGAACACTGAGAAGTTATATCCTTGAGGATAGATTTCCACGATGGAAAGGAAATGAGAGGTTCTAAGAGGCGGGCTAGTGGCTTGTACCATAGCATAGCCTGCCTTTGCTGGTGTGTGGCGATTAGGCCTGGTGGAACTGCCATCAATAAACCAAGTGTGATCAGGGTGAGGAACAGGAAAGAAGGAAATATGGGGAAATGGGGTGAATGTCAGGTGGATCAGAGAGATACAGTCATGGGGGTCAGGTGTGGTATCAGGAATAAAGTGGAAGGCCGGATTGAAGTCCGGGCCAGGAACAATGGTAATTGTGGGAGACTCAACAAAGAGTGAGTACAGCTGAAGGAGCCAGTCAGCAGACAGTATATGTGTCAGGTGTGAGGAAGAAAATAGATTTTGGAAGTTAGGAGAACTGTAGAGAGTGAGTTGAGCATAGTTTGTGATTTTAAGGGCCTCTAAAAGCATTAGGGCAGTGGCAGCCGCTGCATGCAGACTTGAGGGCTAGGCAAAACAGTAAGGTCAAGTTGTTTGGATAAAAAGGCTACAGGGTGCGGTCCTGGTTCTTGTGTAAGAATTCCGACTGCACAGCCCTGCACTTTAGCTGTGGGTAATGAAAAGGGTTGGGATAAGTCAGGGAGAGCTAGAGTGGGGGCAGTCTCTAAAGCTGTCTTCAAGGAATGGAAAGAGCAGTGGGGAAAGGATTTAGGATCTATGGGCTCAGCTAGGTTTCCTTTTGTGAGTTTATATAATGGTTTTGTTAGGATGGCAAAACCATGTATCTAAAGTTGAAAGTATCCAACCATGCATAGGAGGGAAAGGAGTTGTTTTTTTGTAGGTGTTGGGGTTTGAGAGATCAGTTGGACACGATCAGCAGGGAGAGCACGTGTGTTTTTATGAGAATTACACCAAGATAGGTAACAGATGAGAAAGAAATTTGGGCTTGACTGAAGTAATGGGGGCTGTCTGTGAAGCCTTGCGGCAGTACAGCCCAGGTAATTTGCTGAGCCTGATGGGTGTCAGGGTCAGTCCAAGTGAAAGCGAAGAGAGGCTGGGATGAAGGGTTCAAAGGAATAGTAAAGAAAGCATGTTTGAGATCCAGAACAGAATAATGGGTTGTGGAGGGAGGTATTGAGGATAGGAGAGTATATGGGTTTGGCACCACGGGGTGGATAGGCAAAACAATTTGGTTGATAAGGTGCAGATCTTGAACTAACCTATAAGCCTTGTCTGGTTTTAGCACAGGTGAAATGGGGGAATTGTAAGGGGAGTTTATAGGCTTTAAAAGGCCATGCTGTAGCAGGCAAGTGATAACAGGCTTTGATCCTTTCAAAGCGTGCTGTGGGATGGGATACTGGCATTGAGCGGGGTAAGGGTGATCAGGTTTTAATGAGATGGTAAGGGGTGGATTCTTGGTCGCTAAGGAGGGAGTAGAGGTATCTTATACTTGCGGGTTAAGGTGGGGAGATATAAGGGGAGGATGTGAAGGAGGCTTTGAACTGGGGGAAAAAGTGGCAATGAGGTGCGGCTGTAGCCCAGGATTAGTCAGGGAAGCAGATGATTTAGTTAAAATATCTTGGCCTAATAAGGGAACTGGGCAGGTGGGATAACTAAAAAGGAGTGCTTAAAAGAGTATTGTCTAAGTTGGCACCAGAGTTAGGGAGTTTTAACTGGTTTAGAAGCCTGGCTGTCAATACCCACAACAGTTATGGAGGCAAGGGAAACAGGCCCTTGAAAAGAAGGTAATGTGGAGTGGGTAGCCTCCGTATTGATGAAGAAGGGGACAGACTTACCCTCCACTGTGAGAGTTACCCAGAGTGTCTGTGATGGTCTTGTAGGCTTCCGAGGTGATCAGGTGGTGTCAGTCTTCAGCTGCTAAGCCGAGAAGATCTGGGAAGGAGTCAGAGAGACTTGGGCCAGAGTTCCAGGGGCTCTGGAAGTGGCTGCCAGGTGAGTTGAACAGTCTGATTTTTAGTGGGGTCCTGCATAGATGGGACACGACTTAGGAGGAATCCCAGGCTGTGGGCATTCCTTGGCCCAGTGGCCAGATTTCCCGCACTTGTAGCAAGCTCCTGGGGGAGGCAGGCCTGGAGGAATGCCTGGCCACTGCGGGTTAGGCATTTGGAAGTTCTTGTGTGCTGGAGACGTGGCTGGGGTTTGTCTCACAGTGGAGGCAAGGAATTGCAACTCAGAAATATGTTGGTTGCTACTTGGCTGCCTCTACTCTATTATTGTACACCTTGAAGGCGAGGTTAATTAAGTCCTGTTGTGGGGTTTGAGGGCCAGAATTTAATTTTTGGAGTTTTATTTAATGTCAGGAGCAGATTGGGTAATAAAATGTATATTGAGAATAAGACGGCCTTTTGACGTTTAGGGTCTAGGGCTGTAAAGCATCTCAGGGTTGCTGCCGAACGAGCCATGAACTGGGCTGGGTTTTTCATATTTGATGAAACAGCCTAAACACTAACTGATTTGGGAGAGGTCGCATAAAGAAAAAGCATTAACCTTGACTATGCCTTTAGCTCAAGCCACCTTTTTAAGAGGAAATTGCTGGGCAGGTTGGGGAGGGCTAGTCACGGAAGGAAACTGTAAGCCGGACAGGGTGTGAGGAGGGCGGGTGATAAAAGGATTATAGGGTGGGGGAGCAGAGGCTGAGGAAGAATTGGGACCTGGCTCCGCCTGGCGAGGGGCAGCCTGGGGAGGAGGTGAGAGGTCAGATGGGTCTGTAGAAAAGGAAGATTAGAAAGACTCAGCAACACTTGGGGTTGGGACTGAGAGGACAGGCGAGAGGGAAAGGAGGATTTGGGACAAGTCGCATTGGGAACAGAGAGTAGGGAGTGAACAATGTGTAAAAGAATGCCTGGACTTCAGGCATCTCAGACCGTTTGCCCATTTTACGACAAGAATTATCTAGATCTGGTAGGATGGAAAAATCGAAAGTGCCGTTTTCTGGCTATTTGGAACCACTGTCAAGTTTGTACTGGGGTCAAGCGGCATTGTAGAAGAAAATAAGGCGTTTATGTTTTAGGTCAGGTGTGAGTTGAAGAGGTTTTAAGTTCTTGAGAACACGGGCTAAGGGAGAAGAGGGAGGAATGGAGGCTGGAAGGTTGCCCATAGTGAAGGAGACAAGCCCAGAAAAAAGAGAGAGTAGAGACACGGAGAGAAGGGGTTGGGGAGTTCTTGCCCTCCAGAAAAGCGGAAAAGGGGTAGAGACATGGAGAGAAGGGGTTGGGGAGTTCTTGCCCTCCAGAAAAGCAGAAAAGGGGTAGAGACGTGGAGATAAGGGGTCAGGGGGCATTCTTGCCCCCTAGAAAAGAGGTACTTGCCACTAAGGGTGAAGGACCAAGGCAGGCGTCCCCGCGTGGTCAGACACCTCTGAAACGTCGGTGAATATTCAGGCAGGTGTCCCCGCGTGATTAAACAACAAGGGAAGACTGTCTTCCTGAGTCTGTGACCGGCGCCAGAGTTTTGGGTCCATGGATAAAACATGTCTCCTTTGTCTCTACTAGAAAAGGAAAGGAACTGAAATTAAGAGAAGGGAGAGATTGAAGTGTGGCACCAAGATTGAAAGGAGAAAGAGGTTGAGGGATAGTGAGAGGTTGGAGAAGAGAATAAAAAGAGGCTGCTTACCGGATTTAAAATTGGTGAGATGTTCCTTGGGCTGGTTGGTCTGAGGACTGGAGATCGTAGGTGGATCTTTCTCATGAAACAAAGAGCAGGAGGACAGGGGACTGATCTCCTAAGGGCGGTCCCCCGATCCGAGTCACAGCACCAAATTTCACTCGCGTCTGTGTGAAGTGACCACCAAACAGGCTTTGTGTGAGAAATAAAGCTTTTTAATCACCTGGGTGCAGGCGGGCTGAGTCCGAAAAGAGTCGGCAAAGGGAGATGAGGTGGGGCTGTTTTATAAGATTTGGGTAGGTAAAGGAAAATTACAGTCAAAGGGGGGTTGTTCTCTGGCGGGCAGGAGTGGGGGTCACAAGGTGCTCAGTGGGGGAGGTTTTTGAGCCAGGATGAGCCAGGAGAAGGAATTTCACAAGGTAATGTCATCAGTTAAGGCAAGGACCGGACATTTTCACTTCTTTTGTGGTGGAATGTCATCAGTTAAGGCAGGAACAGGCCATTTAAATTTCACTTCTTTTGTGATTCTTCAGTTACTTCAGGCCATCTGGATGTATATGTGCAGGTCACAGGGGATATGATGGCTTAGCTTGGGCTCAGAGGCCTGACAGTTACATACCTTAATGAAGGTAATAAAAAGTAAGATTTGCAATGGAGAGCTGGTGTTGCTTGGCTGCATCTGATCACATTGGAAGGAAGCTTTACATCAACTGATGACAAGTTTGTGTTTTAGACTATACTGCTTTGAAGATGATGCCTGCCTAAATGGATCAGAAATGTTAACACAAACAATATATAACATAAATTTCAATTTTACTATTACTCATTGTAATATATTGAGAATCAAAATTTCTATCATTGGAACAATGAATAACACTAGCCTGTAACTTACAGTCCTTCACATGAACCACTAACTTTCATATAGTGAGCTAATCAAGTATGAAAATTAGGTCTTATAAACAACATATGTACTTGGTTTTTATGAGAGAGGGAAAAAGAAAAAATGGAAATAGTAGCATGGTTATTGGCAGAAAAAAATGCATTAAAGAAATGTTACCTGGGGAGATGAAAGTTAGTTACCAAAATCAGCCTAATTTCCATACAAAATGTAACAGAACATTATGGTATATACTGGATATACAGTTTTTAGAATTGATTCCTATAGAATATGTTCCTCCACTCCCCTTTATTTCACATGCCCTTTCTTATTTTGGAACATCTTAATGCAGCCATGTTTGAACGCCACTGGGAAGGTTCTCAAAATGTTCACACTCGAGAAAAGTATGTGCTCTATTTCTGTGTTTTAGGAAATCAAGAACTTTTGTGACTCAAAGATGTTTACCCATGCTATGCCTCTATCTAAAAAGTGTTCACACACACACACACACACACACACACACACACACACACACTGGCCCCTGTTCATCATTCGGACTCAGCCCCACCCTCAATTCTCAAGAAGTGTTTCCTTGGCTTACTCTTATATTGGTCACTAGTTTTACTCTCTCTTAAACTCTGTCAAGAAGGAAAACTTTTTTCTCTCCCTTTTACGTTTAGTTCCTGGGGGCATGCAAATTAAAATTTTTATTAATATTTACATGCATGGCAGTCTACAGAAATTCAAATAAATAGACTTAGAGGCTTATATACCCTTTTAAGAAAGGAAAGAAGGTTTGGACTTCAAGAGACCATAAATTATGCAGAAGTGACTGGGATATATGTGAAGGAACTAATTGAAGGTAAGGGCTATTTTAGTAAGGTTTGTTTATGCAAACTCATCTTGGTATTGACTCCCTGTCTTTGATAATAAGAGTATTCCTTCTCTGAATGATGGAGTGGGAGGAGGAAGGAGGAGTTCAAAAATTTATTCTGTGCTTTTAGGCAAATATGCGAGGGCAGAGAACTCTTCTAGCCTCTGTTGATTCTTGATTGCCTTTAGCTCAAAATCATGCTATGCCAAGTGGCATATTTTAGGGTAGCATGGTCTGATCCTCTTCAATACCCTGTCCTTGACCTTGGTGGCTTTTCTCACAATTTTTCAAATTTGTGTAATATTGGTCTCCCCTACTAGACTGCAATCTCACTGAAGGCGAGAGCCTTTTCTATTATTTACTTCTATACACACAACACTAACATAGGTCCTGGCCTCATGTGTTTATTGATAAATATGATTGTGTGAATGAGATAGCACTTAAGCAAAAAATGCCTTTTGATTTGTTAAAATAAATAGCCTCTTTTATGAGGTTTTAGAATATAATTGAGATACTTTGTTGGGAGAAATGCTGATATGCTTTAAATTGTTTATGCCAAAAAAAACTACTTATGTACGTAACTTTAATAAGATTCTTTGTAAATTGTAAGTACTTTTCTATATACAAGTTCAAACTGCCCCCAAATTTCTCTAAAGTAGCACCTTCAGTTCTCAAAAAAGGAAATTGAATGAGATGTCAAAAGGTGAAACGGATTAGCTGAACAATAAAATACTTGTGAGAACAGTGAGAAAATGAGCACTGCCTTCTGGTTAGACAGTGAGCAACCTCCAAGGGGCAGTTGGCATCTCACATGACTGATAACGATGAGGCATCATGAGTGTCATCCCATAGTGTGTAGGTCTGTTTATATTTTCTGGTGTATGGTTTTAGTTTTGCCTCTAAAGTCAGAGACACACTCCACAAGGTCATGCTAATGGTCACAAGCAGCAAGGATTTTCCTAAATTAGATTTAAGCTTCCTTCCTTTCTATGGTCTTAGAGTATGTTATAATGACTGCTATTAGAAGTTAGTTTATTATCTTCTAGTCATATTTTTTTGCTTATATATGAGTTTCACAAACTTAATAAGAAATAGTAGTTCTTTCTGTCTTTTAAAGTTACCTAAATTTTGTTCCAATCCCCATGTGACCCAGCCAGCTTCCAGTTCTATTGCATTCCCCAGTGGAAAATCCTCCTTGCCTGTTACTGTATAGAGGTCCCAGTGTCCTGTCCCTCTGAAGATGTAAAATGGGTTCTCTGGACCCTGGTTACCTCCCCGTGATTAATGTCCCTGCCTACTGCTTGAGGTAGAAAGACTCTGCTGTTCCCATGCTGTGGTGAAGCTGGGTGCCTCACCAGGGAGCAGCACAAAACCATTTGCTTTGGGGTCTGCCACCTCCCTGGGGTGCTGCCAAAGAGAGGGCAAGATTGCCACTCCTCCAGGGAACCCCGCCCCATGCACACACTTCCTCCCAGCTGTAGGACTCTCTCTTCCTCTTGTGTCTTGTTTCCTCAGAGAAACACCCTCTCTAACTTCCCCTCTGGGACACTCAACATCCCTTCGATGAGTTTAGGCATTAGAAAAGGCGAAAAGAAACATTAACATCTGCTTCTTCTGTTTTCCACCCTGAAAAAGTCCATAAAGCAAAAAAAGGATAAGGAATGACTAAGGTATGTGAAATAGGCGAAGGAAAAATAGGAGGAGGACAAACACTCTATTTTTAACATAATATCCTACTATAGCTATCTCTGCCCTGCTAGACAGGGAGCATCTTAATAGTGGTAAATACATCTTTAACATTTTTGATATTAAGGTGCCTCGTGTTGTCTTTGGCATAATAGATCCTTACATGTTGTGGGAAAAAAAGGAAGGAACAAAAGAAGGGATAAAAGAAGGAATGAAGAGAGAGAGTCAAAAAAGAATAAAGTGGGAAAGAAGGTGAGAGCAATATAATTATACATATCAATGCAATATGCATTGAATATAGAAAGTATGCCAATCATGCTGCTAAATACTACTGCTCATATAAAAATGCATTAGTTCCCCAGGAGCTTAAAAATCGGAAGACGAGACATGTATATAAATACCTCTAAAACACAACTAATGTAGAGCCATAGAGTATACAATACCAGGTATCTACCATATGCACACTTCCTCTAAGAGACCACCCTGAGGCAGACATATTTTGGTCATCGTGATTCCAAACATCTAGCCCCAGATAACTGCATTAGAAGAGGCGTTTGACCCAAAGGAATTTCTTCTAAGATGTAGCCTTTTGTGCAAAGATGAGCTGAGCCAGTCAGTCTCTCTGGAGGGTGAAGTAGCTAGCATGGGGAGCTGAGGCTGACAGGATATTACAGCCAGAGCCTGTGCAGGTCTCCTGGATCGGAAGGAAACTGAAGTTATGAAAAGCAGAAATTAAGAGGAAGTACAGGTTCCACATATACCAAAAAAATCCCCCAAAACTGAGCAGATAAACAATGAGGAAACATTTCCATAGACAGTAGAAAGAAAAAGACATGTCACTGTGTGCACTTTTTTTGAGAGAGATTTATAGAGACAGAGCAAACATGTGGCTCAGGATAATGAAGGAACTTGTAGATGGCCTCTGGAGTGGCCTCATCTTGTGACAGTTCCAGTTCTGGCACAGAGGTATCCTTATTATCAACTCCTTTTCCTAATAAGGTATCATCTACAAGGTTTTCCATCCTTCAACTGAAGATACAGGTGAAAACAAGAGTCCTAAAGAGGAAAGAGAGTAGAGTCCAGCAGTTCTAGCCCTTCCTCAACAAAGATGACAGCAACAATCCTTGCCAAGGGTCCTCACCTCTGGCCAACCCTCAGGGTTACTTGTCCTGGTGCAACTTTAAAATACACTGAGGTCTGGAAATTCTGATGAGTTTAAAAATCAGCAGATCTAAGGTGGGGTCCAAACACCCACTTTTTTTTTTTTTTAAACAGAATCACAGGAATTCTCAGCATAGCCAGAGGTGAAGAATGCAGTAGCTATGTCTTTGCATATGAAGCAACCATGAACATTATTAGCCTTTGCAAAAGCTCTGTTTTTTGCTCTATTTTGTGAGTTTGGAAAGCTTCAGACTCTCACTCTTTCTTCCAAGTTAAATATATCATGATGTCAGTTGTTTTGGTGTTTATCCTGTGATTGGTGTCTACACAGCCCAACTTAGGAGCCACCATTATTTTTAATCACCTGCTTTTCTCAATATTCCATTCTCTTTCTTTCTTTCTCTCTTTCTCTTTCTTTCTTTTTGTCTTTTTTCTTATTTTATTAACTGAATGTCTGCTATATTAAAGGAATTGAGCTTGTAGCCTAGCTATTGGGATGAAGACACACACATATATATATATACATAATTACAAGCTAAAGTTGTAGGTGATATACTATAAGCATAATGGCAACTTCAAGTTAATTATCCGGAAGTTACAAAATAATGTTTGGTAAGATGCCTGATTTCAAGATTGCTTCATCTGTTCACATGGTTCTTGATGTGTAATTTTCCCTTTAAATCCTCTCCCCTTTCCTGAACTGCTACTTTCTGACCTCAACACCAGTATGGTGATGTATGTACAATTTTTGCCACTCCCAAATACTTTCCAAATGATTCTGTCATCAAAATATTTACCTCTAGTTAGTGTAAGTTGAATAACGAAGGACAGTAATATGCATTAGCATGTGTACCCAGCCCAAAAGACAGGCATATGTAAAAATAACACACTAAGGTGGAAAGGTAACCCCAGAAACCAGTAATACAGTCATACTGAGCCCCGATTTAATTTGGTAAATATCATCTGGCTACTGGGAAATCATGAGACATATTGTAGCAACAGAGTAGCATGTCTCCTACAAAAACCTTTTTATTTATTTAATCCAGTTCATTAATAAAGATCTTCTTTTCATTTTCCCGACGTACAAATACTCCAAAACCACGAGCTCACATTTTGACAGCTAATTTTGCAGGATATAATATTCCTGCTTAACCCAAGAGGAAAAAGAGATGGATGATTGAGATTAATCATTTGTAAAATTATAATTCTGTCACAGATAATAATTTGCAAGATCTTTCCCTTTTCTGAAATCCCCAGAATGCACTGTAAATTGTCACACTTTGTAACAGAATGTGTAACACATTAGGGGACTCCTAATAAAGCAAGTCTGCTAGAAAAACAAACCAATTGCCTTATAATTGGCATGTTCTCCCACGTGATTATTCTCCTGTGAAGGAACATTGTGCCTTGGGTAAAGAAGGGTTTAAAAATTATTATTCAAGAGGTGGTTATCTCCATCTCTTATTACCATTTGAGCTGTAATATATGGTACTTCTTTGCCTTGTGTAATTCTGTTAGAATGTACAACTGTGTGCCCAGAAGGTGAATTGATCCCTGTGGACAAATGAGCAAATTCAGAAAATTTTAATTATTTTCCAATTTAAGAAAGACCATCAAAATGGACATCTAAAAATTGACTTTTTGAGAATGGCTACATGAGTCCATGATGGACAGGGCTTGCTGTTTTACAAGCAGAACTCTCTGTGAACTTTACGTTATTTTTAAAGTCAATTTGATAGGCACTTAATACTGTTTCAACAACAAAAGCAAAGAAACCGTAGGATTTTATCTAAGGTTGGCAGATAATTTTAAGGTTATACAGGATTTGATGAAAGAAGGTCTATGAGCCTCTATAGTTTCTTGGTCCATGTTAGCTAAATTGATTAGGGCAGAAGCTAATAAGATCAAGGTTATGAGTTCAATTCCCGTGTGAGTCAGCTAGCTTTGCTGCGTCCACATCTGCAGACTATATTCAAATCCAACAGTCTCAGGAATATATCCCAAAGGGGTGCAGTGAAGAGAGAGTTTAAATGAGTCAAAATGCTGCCTAATTCTTGTAAGAAATATTACTCAAAGGTCTGCTCTCCCAAGAGCTGAACATTCTAACCAACTCCACTGCCACCACTTTAGTTTGAGCCATCGTTATCCCCTGCCAAGATTATTGCATTAGCTTCCAGCTCTTCCCCCTGCTACATCCCTTGCCGCCTTCAGATTATTTTCAACAAAGCAGCAGAGTGAGCCTGTTAAGATGAGGTCAGAACATACCACTCTTCTGCCCAAAACTCTCTGATGGCTTCCCAACCAACTCCAAGTAAGAGCCAAAGTCCATACTCTAGGCCATTTGCATTCCTCTTCATCTAGTCCCTCCAGTCTTTCCTGAACCCAATGGCAATCTCTCCTCCCACTCCCTCGGTGACATCTGGCATAAGCTCCATAGTAAGCTTCAGCTTTCACAACATCTTAGGAAAAGGCTGTTTATCAGCAGAATTTGCTACATAACATAGTACCTGAGAAAAGGAGGGCAAAATATCTGGCTTCCTTCTTGAAATCAGGAGTGGGAGAAAAATGAGGACAAAAACATAAATAGATCCCATTGTTTCTTTATGAGCCATAAAAGCTCATAAATATAATCAAAATAATTTAATATTTCATAAATACAAATTATCCCACTATGCATAAATAGAAATCCCTGATTGCCTCAAAAGAACTTTCCTAAATCTTTTGTAAGCACACAGCCCAAGGCAGTAGAGTGTGACACAATTTAAAGCAGGAGGTGATTTAGGAAGGTTTGCTCTGAGTCTCCATAAAGTAGGGTAAAAATACACAGGACCAGAAATAAGGTGCTTAGAAATTTTGGAAGAAAATGTTACAAAACTTCTTTGAGTACGCATTAGCAAACTTAATGAGGGCAATCACATAAGAGAATTTTTTTTAGCAGTTAACTCTCTAAGTGAAAATACAATTGAGAGGTGAAGCCAGCTGGGCTTCTCGGTTGGGTAGTGACTTGGAGAACTTTTCTGTCTAGCTAAAAGATTGTAAACACACCAATCAGCACTCTGTCTAGCTAAAGGTTTGTAAATGCACCAATCAGCTCTCTGTAAAAACGCACCAATCAGCACTCTGTGTCTAGCTAAAGGTTTGTAAACGCACCAATCAGCACTCTGTAAAAATGTACCACTCAGCACTCTACATCTAGCTAAAGGTTTGTAAATGTACCAATCTGCACTCTATAAAAACAGACCAATCAGCACTCTGTAAAATGGACCAATCAGCGGGATGTAGGCGGGGCCAAATAAGGAAATAAAAGCAGGCCACCCGAGCCAGCAGCGGCAACCTGCTTGGGTTTCTTCCCACATTATGGAATCTTTGTTCTTTTGCTCTTCACAATAAATCTTGCTGCTGCTCACTCTCTGGGTCTGTGCCACCTTTAAGAGCTGTAACACTCACTGCAAAGGTCTGCAGTTTCACTCCTGAAATCAGCCAGACCACGAATCCACCAGGAGGAACAAACAACCCCAGATGCACCACCTTTAAGAGCTGTAATACTCACTGCGAATGTCTGCAGCTTTACTTCTGAAGTCAGTGAGACCAAGAACCCACCAGAAGGAAGAAATGCCAGACACGTCTGAACACCTGAAGGAACAAACTCCGGACACACCATCTTTAAGAGCTGTAACACTCACTGCAAGGGTCCATGGATTCATTCTTGAAGTCAGCGAGACCAAGAACCCAACAGAAGGAACCAATTCTGGACACACAATGATTTACGTTTACAAACTCATATAATCTCACTTGTGCATGTGGTCTGTACATAAGGCATTCATGCATTCACAAAATATTGAATGAGCGCCTACTATCAGTTAGGCATGGTTTTAGGTGCTGGTTTGTAGATTAATGAACAAAATACAGAAGAATCCTGCCTTTATGGGGATTATATTCTAGTGGAAGGGAACTACTAAAGACACAGTAAGTATATTGTATCTTGTGTTAGAAGTTGGCAAGTGCTATGGTTTAAACAAAAATGTGGACTTCCACAAGGGACACCAAGTATCCCGGGGGTAGGGTTGGCAGTGGACATATGTAGCTATATGTTGTCCACATTTCAGAATATCAAGGAGAACATTATCATCCCTATTCTATTCATCTTGGAATTCTTGGCTATTGGCTAGCAGAGATGTGCCTGAAGCTCAGCTTTTTTTAAAAAAAGATTTTTAAAATATTCTTTAGTTTATTCCTTACTAACCCATTAGTTAATGAAATAACATCATGTTGACAGGAAGTCCCTTCACTCATACTGAATGCCTTACTTTAAAAGCATTTTTCCATGCCAAGCACTTGGGGCCAAGCCTAACCCCATACACTAGGGTTTGTTTTCTGTGTAGCCACAAACTGTCTACATGCCTCCCAACTCCCATGCCTGCAGAAGCAGCAAGCACTGATGGAGAGCCTTATGTTCTGTTCACACCAGGACATGGTCAGCTCAGTCTTTATGGCCACGTGCTTTCTATAAGATTTCTTTAAGACAAGAAAAGCAAATATGATAAACAAGTATATGACAATATTTTATTAAAATGAAGCATTTTTCAAAGATGTCCTTGGAATTTCTCACTACCAACATTTCTTGGTAGCAAGTATTGTGGCTGTCTCTAGAAAGTCTGTATTCAAAGGCTGTTTCCAAGTTTAAATTGGGAAGTAAAAATGAAAAATAAAAATAAAAATGGAAAGAAAGACCACCACCTACTAGGAAATGTATGTATCACTGCTTTTCTCAACAAGAAAGGTGCTACGAAAACAGTCCACCCAAGACAAATAAATTAACCATGATTTAGAGGTAATAACTAATACATGGAAAAAGCCCAAGTAATTTTTTAAAAATAATTTAGGCTACTATCTTAGAAATTTTTAATTTTTACTTTGATTTTTTTGTTTTTTTTGTTGTTGTTGTTTGTTTGTTTTTTGAGACAGAGTCTCGCTCTGTCACCCAGGCTGGAGTGCAATGGCACTATCTCAGCTCACTGTAAGCTCCGCCTCCTGGTTTCCCACGATTCTCCTGCCTCAGCCTCCCGAGTAGCTGGGACTGCGGGCACCTGCCACCACTCCCGGCTAATTTTTTTTGTATTTTTAGTAGAGATGGGGTTTCACCATGATAGCCAGGATGGTCTCCAACTCCTGAACTCTTGATCCGCCCACCTTGGCCTCCCAAAGTGCTGGGATTATAGGCGTGAGCCACTGTGGTAAGGGAAAACTAAAAATGCCTGGAGAGTGCCTGAGAGTCTTGACTTTTTATAATATGCAAAAGTGATTTGTGTTTACCCTGTAAATGACTATTTTCTGTAGCCACTTTTTTTTGCCTATTGCTTTGTGATGCCTCCCTTGTTATAAGAATATGAAATACTCTTGTATCTTTAAAATCAGTGATATTCCTTAACATCTGGATTTCTTGGACATCTGCCTTAGACTACTTCACAAGAAACAGGAGACCACCATTACCACGAATAACATCTAGCCCTGCTAGGAGTTAACTGAAATACTGAGCTATGAAATTCATCCTGGATTCAAGAGACATGAGCCTGAAGAGAATCAGATGGTGGGTCTAATGGAAAAATTAACAACCTCTGCTATTCTTATCCATATCTTCTTCATTTGGACTTTATGCAAGCCTGTGCTTCTAAACTAACAAAAGAGGCTATGCCTACACACAATCAAAACAACCAGCAGAAAACTGGAAAATCCAATCAGCCAGGTGTTTTGCCTACATAATCTCTTATGGCCAGTTTGACTAATTGTTTTCACTATGTTGACTCTTTTCATTTTAATAACTGCTTTTTTCCCTATAAGATAATGTATATTCACTGTGGAAAATATACACAATTTATTACAAATGTATTTTTTAATCCAGAATTCCTATACTGTTAACATTTTTGTATATCTCTTTTAAGTATTTTTAATAAATGCCATATCTTTCTGTATGTGTATATGTATGTGTGTGTGTTTGTAGTTTTACATATATTCTCTCTATACTATTTTATAACCTGTTTCTCTTGGCTAAAAATAAATTATAATTATTTTCCTAGGTTATTAAATATTACTTTCCAGCATGAATTTAATTATTGAGTAGTACCATAATTTTCAACAATCACCTGTTGTTGCATAACTAAACTGCTTCAAATTTTCAAAGCTATAAATATATAAAATACTGATGAACAATCTTACACATAAATTTTGTTCACGTATCAAATTATTCATTTTGATTATAATCCAAATGAATTTTTGCTGGAATTATACTGATAAAATTGACTAGTAATTGGGCTTAACATGAAAGAGCCTAGGTAAATTTGTTTAACAACTACTTTTTTATTTTAGTCTCATGGAACAAAAACCAGCAGAATAGTACTATTTTAAAATTCGATACTGATGTATTCAATGAAGTGCTTTTGCATACCTAAGCTCATTTTGACAGCAAAACTTGTGCTTTTACATACATAAGTTTATTTTGATAGCAAAACTTACATCATCTCTGTGTGCTTGCTGGGAAAAAAGGAAGAGGGCCAACACTTCCTGGCCTGTGCTAGTCTTTGCATATGTTATCTTATTATGGTGGGATTTAAACAGGTGGCTGAGACTTGATTAACGTATTGCTTTACTCAGGGTATTAGATGCATAGTGATCAGAGGCAATTCAGAGACAGGGTTGTTTGAAGCTCTGTCTTCTATTGAATGTAAGCCTAAAAGGAGATCTGCTATTAGACTTCCTGTTTGGGAAGTTAACTGCCTCTAAAGTAGAAGCATAGGCATTCGTTGGGTGGATCTTTTTAAAAAAAATTTGTCATTTATTTTTTTTTTTGAAATAAAATGTTTATTTCTACAATTATTTATTTATTTATTTTAGGGATTTGGTCTCACTATATTGCCCATCCAGGCTGGAGTGCAATGGGCATTCATAGGTGTAATCGTAGCACACTGAAGCCTCAAACTCCTGGGTTAAAGTGATCCTCCTGCCTCAGCCTCTCAAGTAGCTGTGACCACAGGTGTATGCCACCACAGCCGGCTGGTGGGCCTTTTATCAGATTATTACAAAGGCATCAGAATTTGTGTAGATCTTAATGAAGAAAATTTCTTTGGGTTTTGTACCAGCCACTGTGCATGCCTCAAACCCTCTTGGTCATAACACACGAATCAAGAGTCACTTCTCCAGGTCATTGCCCTCAACCGCATATGGCAGCATGGGGCTTTCTGAAGGTCTCTGGGGTCTATCTGAGCTGGATTTCTAGAACATCATCCATTTGGGCATAGTTACTAGATGTCTCCTGGGTTCTAGCTGAAATAGAGCCCAGAAGGACACAAGTCCCAATGACTCCAGTCAATCTTTCTTTTCCTAATTGTTTCTCATAGTTCCATTACTTCTGATGAAGGCTATTATTTCCCAAAGCTGAAGTTGCAATGTGATTTCTCCAGATTCACTCTGGCCTTCTCTGCACTATGTAGAACTTGAAATGTAAGACTTTTCTACTTGGTGGGAAGCAAGTTAGCTTTTAGCATACTTTAGCCTCTTCTGCAGAAGTCTAGAGGAAATTGGGTTTGTACTAGCAGTCCTTTGTGGAGGGGACTTCATGGAGACCAGCCAAGGATTTCCAATATATGTTCCTGTAAAACAAATAATGTGCTTGGACATTATCTGTTGGTAGAGACTAGATTGCACACAAACACAGTACATTATGGAAGAGAGCAACTGTTTTATTAACTGTAGAAGATAATCAGTAAATTGAATCAAAAGTCTATATACATTCTAAATCAGTACCAAATAAATACTATAAAAACAGGGTAAAAGAGTGTGTTTGGAATTACCCAAGTTTACATAATATGTTTCTATGAACATGGCAGAATATTCAATGTTATTCACTAGCATTTTGAGGGGTAAAGATCTCAAAGAAATAGTTTTTTTATGCTTCAGATTGGGATTGTTTGGACTATTGCATGGAGAAAGAAAGGCTCAATATTTTGAGCTTTTTAAGGGCCAAGACATGTGAAGCATGCAAAGTAAGAAAATAACTCAAGTTTCTTTTGAAGTTTCTGCATAAATCTAAATGGCTCATTAGTAATTAAAGTGTACCCTAATTGCTCTGAGGCCATCCAACTGGAATAAACCCTGGCAGCCTTGTTCACTTGCTGTGGGAAAGAATCAGCTCCACCCCAGTGAGAGGGAAATCAAGAAAACCCATGAGGAGGCCTTTGCCTAGTAGCACAATGCATTCACTCCTTCACATCCACCGATGCAGGCCACCGGGTGATTCAACAAGCCATTCTTGCTCAAAGAAGTGGAGATGTGAAATGGGTACAGATAACCACAGCCGTGATGCATTGTCCAAGTGGATAAAAAGTAAAACATTTCTTTAACTTGTGTCATGGCTTCTAACTTTCAACTTTATGCAGGAAGAATTGACAATGGCTAGAGAATGAATATAAAAAACTAAAAATGTGCCATTGGATTTATGGAATAATCTCACATACAACATCCCAATTTTGGCAAAGAGTAAGTTCTGCTGGAAAAGTCACATTGCCCAATTGCTATCTTTAAAAGTAACAGTTCACTTACTTTTAAATAACTTAAAAAATTTTTATTTATTTAGTTATACAAATACTGTTATGTTTGTATGCCTTAACTTGTCAGCACATCTCTGCATGTATACCAATAGCTACAGTTGGTTTGTTTTACTGGTTCAGTCTGGGAGTCCTAGGATTTTATTGCATTTGCTGTTAAAACCAAAACCAACACAAAAAAATCAAACAAATAAAAAACTTAGTATTGCTTTAAGGGACACTGGCTGTCATATAAGACACTGCTTTGAGTATAATAAAAGACTGCACCATTTTAGCATCAGGTTGAGTAATTACATGTGTGCCATTTTAATTAAACCAACTAATGTTCTCTTAGTGCCCATTAGAAGCTATAAAACGAGGAAGCCCAAAATTTATTGCACTCTCTCAGGGAGGAAGATATCATACCTCAAAAGTAGTTTATTGTATATTGATTTGATGTTTATGATCTCCAGGAGTGTTACCCTTGGTTCCAAAAAGCTGAGGCAGATTGGGACATACTTCAGTTGCGGATAGTATTAATTTGGAACAAATAGAATGAAACAATCTTATCTAACACTATTTAAGAAGTTAAAGAAGGGAAGATCATAGATTTGGAAATTAAGTACACTCAATAACAAGGCAAATACCTCTTAGTGATCAGTGTAATACTTATAAATGATGGTCACTGAATGGGTGATCTAAATAAATTTATGCCTAGGAAATTATACCTTTACTATGATGTATCTGAGTCAAACAGTTCAAAATAAAAATGTATTAGACCTTTAAGAATACTGTATCAGGGCTGGGTGCGATGGCTCATGCCTGTAATCTCACCTCTTTGGGAGGCTGAGGTGGGTGGATCACCTGAGGTTAAGAGTTTGAGACCAGCCTGGACAATACGGTAAAACCCTGTCTCTTCTAAAAATACAAAAATTAGCTGAGCATGGTAGCAGGTGCCTGTAATCCCAGCCACTCAGGAGGTCACTGAAGAGGAGAATTGCTTGAACTGGGGAGGTGGAGGTTGCAGTGAGCTGAGATCGCACCATTGCACTCCAGCCTGGGTGACGAGAGCAAAATTCCATTTCAAAAAAAAAAAAAGAATACTATATCCATCTATTCTCAATCAATAAAAATGCTTTACGTAAGTTACATAAAGCATAAAATATTCATCAAAATATTTATATCTTGCTCTGTCATGAGGAATGTAAATGTGGATAATTGGTCATACTTCTGTTAAAAAGGAGAGGAAGTCCTCATTTCAGGTCCCATGTAAGAAATAAGAGATAGGATTGGATATAATCATTGACACAAAAGAGAGATATGGGTTATCTGATCCCTAAGGAACTGAGACCAGAGGGACCTGTGTCATATTTGTTTACTGCTTTAACCTTTTTGATATAATTTAAAGAAGACTTCCAACAGAAAGATGATTGAGACTCCAAAGTGGGAAATATGTGAATAATACTTAATATTATCTTGTGCAGAAACTAAAAGGACTTGAAAAATATCCCTTTTGTCTCATCCTGGTGTTCTGAATGTTTCGCTCAATGCTTAGAAATAATTAATTAACTTTGGGCCTGGCAAAGAGATTAATTAATGTAGATTAATTAACGTAGGGCCTGGCAAAGAGAAGGGAATTTCCCCTGACCTTTAGCCAAGAATGTTCCTCAAACACTTCCTAACAAGCTAGCGAGGTAGGCATTATTTCATCATCATTTTACAAACAAGAAAATTGAGTCTTAGCAAGATCAGACAACTCTTTCAATATCACCCTGATGAAGACAGCAAAGCAGGAGGCCCTGTGTGCTGACTCTGTCAAATGCTTTTTCAAATAGAAGAATGGAAATGGCTAGGGAGGTGAAAAATGTAGCATAAAGAGGCATATTTAATTGCTTAAGCAAAGTAGATGATTTGGAAACTGAAAGAAAATGACTCACATGTCACTGCTATAAACTTCAGCCCTTCTGAAGATAGGAGGCACTGGTCTCATCAGAAGAGGGAAGAGAACTTTTTCAGATTAGAGATGAAGGTCCTGGAGTTGTTTCCCTACCCTACTGTAAGTTAAGTAAGTTAAGTGGTGATACTTCCTGAGAATAAGCTTATCTCATGGCAAATTCCTGTCTGAATTGCTGAAATAAATACAAAGTTGCTTAGTTTCCTGAATTTGGACTTGTTTGAGTTCCAAGAGCCAAGCTCTTTCTGACTGTGCAAACTTGCTGTCAGGCTTTGATAAGCCTTTAATCATTGATGCTAACAAAGGTCTGCATATTTTAGGAGCCTTTCTTTGGAATCAGCCTTAGGAATATTTGTGGAGCCAGACAACATAATTACTCTCATTATTTTTCAGCCAACCACACCTGATTACTGAACAACAACAAAAAATGTTATTAGTCACATTGCAAATCTCTGTACATCCCAGAGTTTCAAATTATGTATATCTAGCAAAAACTTAGGACATCTTCAAAGGACAAATATCTGCCCCTGTATGCATATGCAAAATTATATCCCATAATGTAGGAAGATAGTTTCTAAAATGAAAATCCAACAATTAGAGAGCAATGTCAGCATAATTTGAACTGTGGCCTCTAAACTGACTGCTTTAAGTGACTTTGTTCATTTGGATGCTTGGGTCCGGAAACATTTATATAATTTAAGGATTATTCTCATAGTAGACCACGCACGGTGGCTCACACCTATAATCTCAGCACTTTGGAAGGCCTAGGCAGGCAGATCACCTGAGATCAGGAGTTAGAGACCAGCCTGGTTAACATGGTGAAACCCTGTCTCTACTAAAAATACAAAAATTAGCCAGGCATAGTAATGTGCACCTGTAATCCCAGCTACTCGGGAGGCTGAGGCATGAGGCGGAGGTTGCAGTGAGCTGAGATTGCTCTGCTGCACTCCAGCCTGGGCAACAGAGTGAGATGCTGTCTAAAAAAACAAAACAAAACAAATTTCTTATACTAGAACTTTCTTAGAATACATTAATGGCTTGATGTGTCATTAATTTCAGTAGCAATAGCAATTTCACACTTTGTGTATTATTAGAGTCCACCACTGTGATTTATTTTATTTTATTTTGAGACAGAATCTCTACCTATCACCTAGGCCACTGTGTAGTGGCACAGTCTTAACTCACTGTAACCTCTGCATCCTGCGTTCAAGCAATTGTCCCATCTCAGCCTCCCAAGTAGCTGGAACTATGGCGCATGCCACCAGGCCTGGCTAATTTTTGTATTTTTTGTAGAGACAGGGGCTCACTATGTTGTCCAGGATGGTCTCCATGCTGGGCTCAGACGATCTGCACACCTTGGCCTACCAAACTGCTGGGATTCCAGGTGTGAGCTACTGCACCCTGCCCACTGTGATTCTTTTCTTTCAAATAGAAGCATGCCTTACAATAAAGGACGCAAATGTACAGCAAGAATAATTTTAACTTATGCATGTATACTTCTGTGTAATCAATACCAAGATCAAGATGTAGAATATTTCAAGCACCTCACAAGCTCCCTATGTTTCTTACCAATCAGTATCTTGGCCACAAGATCACCACTGATCTGACCTCTAATCACAAGAAATTAGTTTAGCCTACTTTCAAATTTCATATAAATGGAATCATAGATTGTACTCTTTCGTATCTGACTTCTATCACTTAACAACATGTCAACAAAACTCCTCTATTTTGTTGTATGTAACAGTGTTCTGTTCTTTATGTTACTTTGAATATTCCATTCTTAATTATACCTCAATTCATTGACCCATTCTACTGATGATGTATGTTTGCGTTATTTACAGTTTGGGGCTGTTACAGTACCTGCATTATTGTATATGCCTCTGGGAGGAACTAAGCACTCGTTTCCATGGGGTGTGTTGCCAGGAGTAGAACTGCTGGGCCATGCATATGTTTACCAAAATGTTTTCTAATGCATTTGTACCAAGTTACACTTCTGTGTTTCTTAAATGACATGAAAGGTAAGATCATCTGAGTAATTTACTATCCTATATTTATCATTAAAGTATTTATTTACATAAAATTTTTTTAATGGAAGCTTTGACTTTGAGATTAAAACAAAATTACTGGCATTTTATTCTCCTCTTTGCTTTCTTGGACTACTTCTAATCTGTTGGACTTGGAGAGGTTCCATCTTTGTTCTTGCTATTTTCTCCACAGATACAAGATGATTCCTTTATGGCACTTTACTGTTGGTAATTTGTGTGTCTTGTACGTGCACTGGGGTGAATTGCTGGCAAGAGTATGTGCTACACTCCTCTATCTCCTACTGCATGTGTGGATAAGACCCTGACCAGCATCAGAGAGGGAGGGCCATGACTTACCCTATGTGTGAGCAGACATGAGACCCAGGAGGCTTGACAAAGGCAGTGTGATGTCTTCAACAGCATCTCATAAAACTCAGAGATGTGCAGCAACAAACTCAGTTCCAAATGCCATGGTCACCAGTACCTGTGCCTTCATCTTGTCACCTCTCCTCAGGATTTCATCATTAAACTTGCCCAGATAATTACCCTTGGTTGAGGTCAAGGTTCTGATTCTTAGTCAAGAAAACAAAATATCACTGGCAGCTCTGCCCAGCTGTATGTTTTAGCGATTCCAGATGTTCGAATCAAAGAAATACTGGCAACAATGTGCTGTCCAAACAAAAAGGAAATGAAATGTGCAGACTGTTTTCTAAACATTTCAAAGACCCTGGAAATGTAGCCAGCACCAAAATCAATATTTGTATTTTAGTCTCTGCTTAATTTGAACTATTAGAGCCTGCATCAAAGATAAAAGCCATCTGAAGTTGAATTTGTTTACTTTTTTTCCTCCATTATTATTTTTGTCCTTATTACTTTTTTTTGTAAAACACTTTGGAGCAAGCAGATGTTTAAGTGTTTTATTTTCAAGAGAAATATCTTTTTTTTTTTTAACCGGGAACATATATTGGAAGTTCTGTTCAAAATACATCATCTTATTATTTGTGGTTTAACAGTCTTTTAAATTTTTAACGTAATGAACCTAAACCAAAGGCAATTGGTACAAATTTGTACGAATTTGTTACTAATTTCATATATTTGTATGAATGTATACCCTTGAATAACAAAGCTATAATGCTTAGCAAAATGCTATGAGACATGCTTTTACTTTTTTGACCTCATTAGAAAATAACAATAAGAAATAATAAGTTATATTATACAAACATAACAACAGTCCATGTTAATTTATAACTTGGCTCTCTGATTATTTCACACAACCAGAATGTAAAAGAAAGTGAGAAATTAAGAGGAAATAAGTGGGCACTGTGTAGACTAAATAGACATATCAAAAGTCATAACAACATGTACTTTTAAGGATCATTTCAGGATTTCACTCAAAGCTGATTTACTCTTAATTTATGTGTAATCCTAACTAATTTGCTTTCAAATGCATGGTGGAAGAGAAAGACCCTTAGTGGGAGTTAGAAACAGTACCATAGGAAAACATGTCAATAGCAGTGAGAAATGATATCTAAAGCAAAAATGTTACAAAAACTATAAAAGCAATAGTAATTATTTTTATTACTAAAGCACAGCCGCAGCCGCTGTGACCCTTTTGTTTAGAGAAAATAGTATACCTACATGGGGCACATCTTGTGCCCTGCCTTTTTTTTTTTTTTTTTTTTTTTTGAGACAGAGTCTCACTGTGTTGCCCAGGCTGGAGTGCAGTGGCGCGATCTCGGCTCACTGCAAGCTCCACCTCCTGGGTTCACGCCATTTTCCTGCCTCAGCCTCCAGAGTAGCTGGGACTCCAGGCGCCTGCCACCACGCCTGGCTAATTTTTTTTTGTATTTTTAGTAGAGACGGGGTTTCACCATGTTAGCCAGGATGGTCTCAGTCTCCTGACCTCATTATCGGCCTGCCTCGGCCTCCCAAAGTGCCGGGATTACAGGCGTGAGCCACCACGCCTGGCCATGCCCTGTCTTTTTACTCTGGTAGTAGGCGTAGTGACTAGCTGCAGGCAGGTGTCACCTGAAAGCTCCTTACCTGGATTGTACTATATGGATCTCGCTTTCTACTTCAAGTCTTCTCTGGTATTATTACCACACTGGATGCCAAAAGGAGCCTGCTCGGCCATTCTTATGTGTGAGCAAACCTGGATTTAACAACATACCTGGAGGCCACCCTTGACCCATGGGGCAGGAGTCAGTGGATACAGCATTCCCCGTTCTGTTCCTTCGGCAGAAGTTCAAATATTAAACAATATTGAAGTTCATCCTGAGAGGGCCCCTTGCCAAAATCATACCTACTTGCCCACTGTGGGGAGTAGCTTGAGAATGACCCATGGGCTGCCTTTCCCTACTTCCCAGTTTCATTCTTTCCAGACTTCAACCTTTGTTTTCTGGGATTGCTTCCCAAAACTCACATCTACTACAAAGTTATAGTAATCAAAATAGCATGGTACTGTCACAAATACAGGCATCTAGAACAATGGGACAGAATAAAGGTCCCGGAATAAATTCACACATCTATACCCAACCGATTTTCAACAAAGGTCCCAAGAACATATAATGGAAAAATAATAGTTTCTTTAATTAATGGTGCTGGGAAAATTGGACCTTCATATACAAAAGAATGAAATTGGACCCTCATCTTATCCCATATACAAAATTCAACTAAAAACGGGTTAAAGATTTAAACATAAGAGAAAACATAAGGGAAAAACTTCTTGAACTTGGCCTGGACAAATATTTTTTTTTTAGATATAACCCCCAAAGCACAGGCAACACAAACAAAAATACATAAATGAGATTGCATCAAACTAAAAATCGTATGCACAGCAAAAGAAACAATCAACACAGTGAAGAGACAACTTACAGAATGGGAAAAAAATTGCAAGCCATACATCTGTTAATAGGCTAATACTCAAAATATATAAGGAACCCAACTCAATAGCAAGAAAATAAATAAATCAATTAAAAAATGGGAAATAACCTGAAAAGACATTTCTCAGAAGACATACAAATGACCAACAGGTATATATATGAAAAATGCTTACTATCTCTAATCATCAGAAAAAAAACAAACTATAATCATTAGATATAACCTCACACCTTTTAGCATGGCTGTTACCAAAGAGATAAGAGATAAGAGTTGGTAAAGATGTGGAGAAAAAGGAACTCTATACAATGTTGGTGGGAATGTAAATTAGTGCAGCCATATGGAAAGCAGTATGAAGCTTCCTTAAAAAATTACAAATAGAACCACCATATGATCCAGCAATTCCACGACTGGGTGCATATCCAAAGGAAACGAAATCAGTGTGTCAAGGAGATATCTGCACTCCCATGTTTATTGCAGCACTATTCACAATAGCCAAAATATAGAATCAACATAAGTGTCCATCAACAGATAAATGGATAAAGTAAATGTCATACCTATCCACAATGGAATATTATTTTGCCTTCAAACAGAATGAAATCTTGCATTTGTGACAATGTGGATGAACCTAGAGGATGTTGTATAAATAACCCAGGCACAGAAAGACAAATACTGTATAATCTCACTTATATGTGGGATCTTAAATAGTCAAACTCCTAAGAACAGAGAGTAAATGGTGGTTACCAGAGGCTGAAGATTGGGTGGCAACTGGCAACATACTGGTCAGTAGATACTACAGTTCAGTCAGATATGAAGAATAAGTTCAGGAGATCTATTGTGTAACATGATGACTATAACTAATGACAATGTTTTGCATACTGAAAAATTGCTAGGAGAGTAGATTTTAAATGTTCTCACCACAAAATAAAAATGATAAGTATATGTGGTAATAGATATGCTACTTAGCTTGATTTAGCCATTACACAATGTATACATATTTCTAAACATCATGTTTGACATCATAAATATGTACAATGTTTATTTTTTTTTTAAAAAGAGAACACCTAGCCTACAAGCCCTTGTTTCAGACTTTTTCCAGAGAAGCTGTACTAAGACAGTTGATACCTAGAAATGACCGTACAGCACAGACTCTCAGCATGGGGATTCAAGAATCAGGTCACTTGGCTTCTAGCCGCAGTACAATTGGCCCTGTCACTCAGCTCACAAGATTCAGCACATCTATTAGTATTAGAGGTTTCCATGGTGATTGGATGCCAGCCTCAATAAAAGAATCATGACAGAAGCAAAGAGCAGTTTAGAGCAAGGCTGGTCCTTGCGTGACAGAAAACTGCTCATTGTTGGCAAAGGAACTCCTTGCCTAATAGAGACTGGACTTCTGACGATGGGGTATCAATTAACTATGTAACCTGAGTCTACATGGTCCCATCAGATCTCCCAAGTCACAAGGTTAGGCAGTCCCCCAGCAATCTGTTGTTTGGTAGAAGTGGCACCTGTGCAAATTGGACCCTGGCAGATCTGGAGGACACAAGTAAGTTGAAGAGCAGTGATCCTTCTCTTATGTTGCTTCTCTGTGTCGTATTACTGCCTCCCTCTCACCTCACACCTCTGGCCTCATAGAGGTTCACGGCACCCAACTAACAGGAGGAAAGCAGTGTGCGTCTGCAACAGAAAAGGGTCAATTTTCGTCTAGGTGCTAGCTAGAAATAGCTGGTAGCTGCCCTACAGCCCCACTCGAGAATGGCCCTAAAAGGTGGTGAAGGTAAATCCTCCCTAGGGAAACTCAGTTCCTAATGAGGGGTATGGATTTGGGTGGACAGCTAGCAGTCTTTATCAATTCCCCTCTCTGCCTCCCATCCCCAAGTTATTTGATACTGACTATGGGAAAGGCATTATTCTAAGTAATTTTTATAGTCATCTCTGCAAATTAGGTATCATTCTGATATGAATTTTTTAAAAGTGACTAGGATAGGTTATTTTCTTAAGATCACACAGCTGTTAAGGGGGCTGCATGCCATGGACACCACAGCTCATGCTTTTTCTACTGTATTGTATTAATTATCTAGTATTGTAACATATATTATAGTTTCCAAAATGTTAAACTACAGTAACATATAATTTAAGCCAAAAAGATTAAAATGTATTTAGCACACCATTTAAGGGCATTAGGCAACATATATTTTACTTTAGAAAGATTTTAACCCAATCTAACCCAAGTGGTCAAAATTAAAAGCTTGGTGTTTATAAATATGGGTCTCCTCAAATCAAGAAAAACTCCAACTGTTATGAGTTTTAATTACTCATGGATTCAAGAGGATATGGATCTAGCAAGAGAGCTAAAAATAACACAGGGAAACTGATAACACAAAATTAAATTTGGGTTTCATCTTGACCAGTGATTAGCAAATTATGTTCTATGGAGCTCCAAGATTGTATAATTGTACCTCAAAGTATATCATAGGGTCACAGGCTGTCTTAACGTTTGGGCTTACTTATCTCCTTTAATAGAAATCCCACTTTTCTATTCTAAATGTTGAGATTCTACCTAAAATTACATTTCAAAAACAGATTTACTTCTATGAATATAAAATTAGTAAAGCACAATTGGAGAACTTCACATATACCATAGGAGTATATCAAAATACAGGGTTCCTCCATGCTTTAGAATAATTCATGAATTAGTACTCTGAAACACCAATGATTTCTAGTCCAACTAGAAGTTATTATTAGTTACCTGGCTAGTGGGATCCCTGCAGTAATATAGGCTATAACATCATAATAATCTTCTTTTCTAGTAATATGAACATAAATTTATCTGGGGCAGCTTTATACCTAAGTCGAGACTTGGCCCTGACTTTCTGTGGTTGTGGGAGTGAAAAGGATCAGACAAATAATATTTAAAATTGGCATTAGCAGAGTCCCATCTGCCCTGCTCTGCCTGCAATAAGAAGTGCTTTGCAGAGTTATGTCTGTGGCATTAGACTCTGCTAGGCAGGTGGAATTTGGCCCACAGGCCTAAAGCACTTAGAAAATGTTTCGGCAAGTAGAGATAGGAAGGCCTTTGATGTTGAGCATGGTTATTTGGATAAAGGAGGTGATACACAGCAGAATGTGCCTGAGCATCAAAGTGAGAGCACAGAAGCAGCAAGGGCTGCCTACAAAATGGAGCTCATTTTTCTAAGTCACACAGCAGCCTAAAGCATCCATTTGAATGCTGAGTAGTTTGAATAGCCATAAGAGTTGTTAGAAGACAGTCTTTAAGGTCATATTGAGTTACAGCAGACTTTAGGCTCATTTATTCTTTGGAAACATTACAAGAGCCTTAGCTTAACAATACTGTGAACAAGCAAAGTTTTCAGGTGTTATCAGTGTTAGATTTTTTCCAAGGCCATTTTTCTGCATTTCTTTCCTCTTTCTGTTTAGGTTATAGTTTTTCTCTAAACCAGGTGAGCCTCTATTGAGTAACGTATCTTCTAATAAGATCAATTTATCTTCCACTGACTTCTGCAACCATTTATGCTATTTTTAAAAGCTTCCAAAGTTAAAAATTTTCAAGATCTGCTATGAGCATCGAGATAAATCCCTTCATTAAGTAAAATCTTGTCTCGTTAAAAATAAAAAAGGAATTTCTAGGCCGGATGCGGTGGCTCACGCCTGTAATCTCAGCACTTTGGGAGGCCGAGGAGGGCGGGTTACAAGGTCAGGAGATCAAGACCATCCTGGCTAACACGGTGAAACCCCGTCTCTGCTAAAAATACAAAAAAAATTAGCCGGGCGTGGTGGCAGGCGCCTGTAGTCCCAGCTACTCGGGAGGCTGAGGCAGGAGAATGGCGTGAGCCTGGGAGGCAGAGCTTGCAGTGAGCAGAGATTGCACCATTGCACTCCAGCCTGGGTGACAGAGCAAGACTCCATCTCAAAAAAAAAAAAAAAAAAAAAAAAATTTCTACCTAAAACACAATATGAGCACACAAAAGCAAAAATGAAAACAAAAATTTCCAAATTATCCCACCCCTCTTCCTGGACAGCTCAGCCCCTACCCGACAACTGCTGAGGAAAGTGAGCAATGCCAACTAGGCAGTGTCTGCTCTATGCACCCCAAGCTCTCTGTCCCCATGGTCCTAAGTGTTATGGAGATGGGGTCATCAAAGGTTGGGGGTGGGGAAATCCCAGAAATGAGAAGAAGTTAATTGGACTACTGTGATTTACTTCCAAAAGAGGGAAAGAAAATTGTTAAGAGAAAAGGTCACAATAGGCAGCATGTGAGAAATGGTTTGAAAGTAAGAAAGGAGAGGGGCTAGAGAGTAGCTGTGCCCCTTGAACCTGGCAAGTTAGGGAGGGAGGGGACTGAAGAAAGGGAAGAGAGGAAAGTTCAGCCAATGCGTGAGGGTCTAGGCTGAAGAAGTTGCCGCCTTTCATCTGAACCCTTATCTCCCAGGCCCCATCCCCCATGCTCCTGCTTCTCAAAGGCTGAAGTTTATTAAAATGCAGATTCCAATTCCACAGGTCTGGAGTGGGTGGGAACTGGGTGTCTGCATTGCTTACACACTTCCAGTTGATGCTGCCCTGCAGGAAACCAAACTTTGAGTAACATATTTACACAAGCACTATTATCACACTCTGGAATGTCCTTCCAGAGACAGATGTTGACTACATAATTGTAACATGTTCATCAAGTTTTGTTAAAAGGTATAATAACATACTATATCAATGTTCTCCAGAGAAACAGATTCGGTAGGAGATATCTACCTATATAGAAAGATACTCTCTCACTCTCTCTATATATATAAAGTTATATACATACATAAAGTTATTATATAATTTATATATAAAGTTTTATATAAATACATTCATATATAATTATAAATGTATTTATATAAATATATATTTATAAATAAATGTATATATACACACACACACACATATATATATATGTATATAAAATGTGTCACCGGGAATGTGTAGAAACAGAAATTCTTACCCATTGTTACTGGATGTATAAATCAGCAAAGTTTATGTTTAGCATAATTTGTCAATTTCTATGAAAAGTAGAAATTTACATACCCCTTGACCAATATTTTCAGATCTAAGTATTTATACTACAGATATATTGATACATTGTCTTTGTAGTTCAAGACTCTTTTTTCAAGAATGTTTACTGCAGCATTGTTGTAAGAGCAAAGCGCTAAATATCCAATAATAAGAGAAAAGATATACATTTTATATATATACATATATATATAGAGAGAGAGATAGGAGATACCTATCTATATAGAGAGATCTGTATAGAGTATCTCTCTATATATGGATATCTTCTGTCCTCAACTCTCTCTACCTTTCCCTCTCTTATTATTATTTCTCTTATTATTGGATATTTAGCGCTTCTTTGCTGTTACAAAAATGCTGCAATAAACATTCTTGAAAAAAGAGTCTTGAATTACAAAGACAATGTATCAATATATCTGTAGTATAAATACTTAGATCTGAAAATATTGGTCAAGGGGTATGTAAATTTTTACTTTTCATAGAAATTGACAAATTATGCTAAACATAAACTTTGCTGATTTATACATCCAATAACAATGGGTAAGAATTTCTGTTTCTACACAATCCCGGTGACACACTATTTTACAAAATATTTTGACCCTTGCCACTTTGATACATGAAAAAAAAGTCTCCCTCAAGTTTTATTTTGAGGATAAACATTTTTCTCTTACATTTATAAACTGTATTCCTTTTCTTCTGCGTTTCTTGTCCATTTCTCTGGGATCATTGCTATTTTTTTCACTGATTTACTAGAGCTCAATGTATCTTATGGATATAGCCTTTTTCCATATACAATGCAAATATATTTTATTCTGGTATGTTTTGTCTTTTAAGTTTATGGTGTTTTAACCATGCAAATATTTTAATTTTTATGCAAAGAGTTTAATTTTATTATGTTTTCTGGGTTTTGTTTCTTACTCCACAGGCTTTTCCTCCAAGAAGCTATAAATAATTATCCTATATTTTCTCCTATTACTTATATAGTATCTCATTTTGCATTAAAACCTTTAAACCATTTTATTTATTTTTGTATAAAAAGTGTGATTAGAGACCCAACTTCTCAGTCTTACTCCTCTGGCTAGTTATTTGTTCCAATTCCATTTTTTTGATAATTCATTTTTTGATCACAATTAAATTTCACCATGTATTGGCTCTATTTATGAAATGTCTACTCTGGAAAATCTATTATAGAATGTTTATTACTGGTATCCTATAATATGTCTAATAATTAGAAGGCCTAGTATTTATTATTATTCTTATTCTTTGAAACTTTTCTGCAGTCTTATAAATTGGAATTCTTGTCAAAAATTATTGTTGGTATTTTGATTGTGACTGAATTAAAGTTATGAATTAATTAAGGGAGAAGGTCTATTTTGTATATTCTGAACAGAGGTGATATTACCCCTAAAAGGACAAAGATTGGTTTGGAGAGAAAAACACTTACTCTTTTTATGTTTAAAGAACAGATATATATGTAATAAATAAAAAAATATATATTTAGTATACCTGTAGTATTAAAATCTAATGGGAGGAAGTGATTAAGAAAAAAATATTTTTAAAAATCTCCTTAGAAAGACTACAATGAAAATACAGTCGAGAAACACTATTCTATTGATAGAAAGCTGATCACTGTTATCTGAGAATAAGTCACTTCTTCATATTTACTTAAGTCTTTTAGATGCAACAGTGAAGTTGTTGTTTTTGTTTTTGTTTTCTTCCAAATAGATCTGGGGCATTTGTTTCTAGGTATTTTACCTTTTTTTAATAGATGGAATTTTTATTCCATTATATTTTCCTACCAATTATGATTTACATTTAGAAAAACAATTGTATATTAATCTTCTACAGTCAAGCTACTGAATGTTTAATTATAATGGTGTTATAGTTGTTTTTCCTCATTTGTCAAAACTTATCTGCAAATAATAAAAATTGGCCAGGCGTGGTGGCTCACACCTGTAATCCCAGCACTTTGGGAGGCCAAGAGGGGTGGATCATGAGGTCGGGAGATTGAGACCATCCTGGCTAACACGGTGAAACCCTGTATCTACTAAAAATACAAAAAAATTAGCCAGGCATGGTGGTGGGCATCTGTAGTCCCAGCTACTTGGGAGGCTGAGGCAGGAGAATGGCGTGAACCCAGGAGACGGAGCTTGCAGTGAGCCGAGATCGCGCCACTGCACTCCAGCCTGGGCTACAGAGTGAGACTCCGTCTCAAAAAAAAATAAATAAATAAAATAATAATAATAAGTTAGCGTCATTCCTTCTAATCATTATGCTTCTTATTATTCTGTTTTGGCTAAGGGTATTTCTAATGCTTACAGAAAATTAAAACTAATAAAGATGGTAGACATCTAGCTTATATCTCATTTTAATGAAAATTTTTTTAGTATTTTACCATTGAGCTTATGTCGATTCAATGTTATTATTGGGAGATTATAAATCAATTTCTGTTATAAAAGACATTTATCAAATGCCTTTTGGCATTTATGGAGATAGTCAAATGAGTGCTGTCCTGGGATCTCTAATTATGCACATTGTGTTACTAGAGCACCGTATATTGAACTATCCCTGCATTCCTGGTATAAACTCCATATGTTTGTGGTACATTATCTTATAGCATGTGACTGTGGTTTATTTGACAATATGCTGCTTTTGGTTTTTGCTATAATAAAATAATGTTTTTATTTAATTTTATTGCACCATGCTATTTTGTCAGGTTTTGGTAACAGGAGCTTCATAAAACAAGTACATAAACTTTACCTTTTTTCTCTATTTTCAAAAACATTTTCCTTTTTTTTTTTTTTCATTTTATTTGAGATGGAGTCTGGCTCTGTCACCCAGGCTGGAGCCAATGGCATGATTTTAGCTCACTGCAACCTCCACCTTCTGGGTTCAAGTGATTCTCCTGTCTCAGCCTCCCAAGTAGCTGGGACAACAGGTGTGCACCACCATGTCTGGCTATTTTTTTTTTTATTTTTAGTAGAGACAGGGTTTCACCATGTCAGCCAGGCTGGTCTCAAACTCCTGACCTCAGGTGATCCAACCGCCTTGGCCTCCCAAAGTGCTGGGATTATGGGCGTGAGCCACCGCGCCCAGGCTGAAACATTTTCAGATAAGATTAGATTTCTTATTTCTTACAGATTTTATAGATTCAACTGTAAAAAATGTCTGAACCAAGTACTTTTGTTTTTGATGTTCTCCTGACAACTTTTTCATTTTAACTTCATATTTTTACCAGGATATATTTTGGCAATTTGTTCCTTTGAACCTAGCTTTCAAATTTTTTTTCTACAGAATGGAGCAAAGTAAAATTTCTTTGTATCTGTGCCTATTTTCTCTATTCTAATAGATAATTTTGTACATTCATGTTTTTTTCTCTCTTTATACACCATACCTTTGTTTATTTTTTATTAGTTTAGCTAATGGTTTGCTCTCTCTCTCTCTTCCCCCCACATTTTGCTCACTATTCCTCTATCTCTTTCTCTCTGTTCCTCTTGTTTTTGCTCTCATGATGTTTCTCTCTTTTTTTCTCTCCAGAAACCAAATCATGGACTCAATTAATAGTTTTATCTTTTGCTTCCTGTTTTCTAATTTACTTATTTCTACTATTTTATTTTTCTTTCTTCCTTTTTTCTTACATTTATTTAGTTGTCCTTTTCTCAACTTTAAAAATTTTATACTTTATTCACTTTTTTATGGAAAAAGTGGAAAAAGAGTTTTATTTTTGTAGAAAAAGAGGATTGTAAAAATACAGCATGAAGTAGATTTTCTACAGTGTCCTTTGAGGCTTTTAAGTAAGGATTCAGAATATTTTATTTATTCTTATTTGATGAACTGCTCTCATTTCAACCACATAACAAAATCAGACAGCATGTGTTGATTAGGGTTTTAAGCATTATTCAAATTGACTAAGAAAATTACACTTTCTTCAACATTTATTGATATTTCGAAAAAGAATATATAGTTATGTGATCTCACAAGTCTCCTAACCAAATATACCTTTCTTTCCATCATTGCAGGTCACTTGACCCTTACCTCTGGCTGTGGGGTAGTAAGTGTACTTGGCTGGGGATGTTAAGAAACTTTAATTCAATTCTTAGGGCATGCAGTAGGAAGTCCTCCTTGCCCTGCTGCCACCTTACAACCCCACTCTAACGTGACATCTCTTGCCATGCTACATTCTTACCTTGTTCCTCAGACCTGCAAGCAGATCGTTTTTAATGCCTGGACTCTAGTACTTCTCTTTTTTTTTTTTTTTTTTTTTTTTTTTTTGAGACGGAGTCTTGCTCTGTCACTCAGGCTGGAGTGCAGTGGCGCGATCTTGGCTCACTGCAAACTCTGCCTCCCAGGTTCAAGCGATTCTCCTGCCTCAGCCTCCTTAGTAGCTGGATTACAGGCACACGCCACCACGCCCAGCTAATTTTTGGGTTTTTAGTAGAGACGGAGTTTCACCATGTTGGCCAGGATGGTCTCAATTTCCTGACCTCGTGATTCTCCCACTTCGGCCTCTCAAAGTGCTCAGATTACAGGCGTGAGCCACCGTGCCCGGCCACTTCTCTTGATCCCATGTCTACTATCACTCTCCACTGAAGGTCAGTCTGCCTTGGTCTCCATGGCCTTCTCCAAACTGCCCAGCAGATAAGAGACTTCTGCTTTTAACACCATCCTGAAAGGCTGGGTCTTGTTATTCATTGACAGATTTTCGTATGTTCATTTATGCACATTTACTCATTCACCAGGCATGTATAAAGTACCAATTTCGAGTCAAATAGTGTGCTAGAAAGCAGAGATATAAAAAAAAAATACAGCAGAATATGGGTCCTTCCTTTTAGTGGCATAAAATGTAGTGGAAGGTGACCCACGGACATGGACCTGAAATGACTAAATCTAGATTCTTGGGTCCTGAGTTCTGATATGGCATCCTGAAACTTCTTGATGGTTTTGCTAATTGCTTACCTTCATGGTCACGTGTAGGATATTTCTATGATCTCCTAATTTTACTTTCCCTTTGTTTAACTTGATCTGTCCCCCCGTTTTTGTTGTTGTTTTTTCAATGCCTGCCTCTTTCCTGTCAGGTCTTAGTTTCTCATACATTGCTCCTTCTGCTGCAGTTCTCCCTATACCTGATTATACCACAGGCCATATCTTTAACATATTAATTTTATATGTGCTTTGTTCATGCAGAAAAACCAGTTCAGGAGCAAAGATAGCATATGCATATCTATTATTCACTAAATATATATCAAAGCTGCCCTGAAGTTTTTTTTTTTTTTTGCTTTATTTTATTTGAAGTATCAAACTTGAATTTATAATCATCTTTTTTTTCTGAAAAAAAAAAAGATCAAGAAAGACTTCCAGGAATCAAAAGAGTTATATCCTAAGATATCTGGAAATTTTCCAAATTTGAAATACTGTTAGTAAAGTTAATTTTCCCTAAGAAAAGATAAAGAAACAACAATTAGAGAACAAAACTGTGGCACCAAGATGTGAACAAAGGGCACTCAAATATGTATTGCAACAAAAATGACAAGTGATCACCCACTGTGTTCCCATGGGTAATTAGCAAGTAGAAGAAACTGTGACAGTTAAATCCAAGGATACCCAGGGTCTCCTGCACATTAGAATCTCATTGTAATGTGACAAAGTAAGGCCCAGGATGATTTCTAAAGTGGGCCATTGGTTTAGGTTTACGAGGGAATTTACTGTTGTGAATGAACATCAGAAGGAATTTATCCTGCTCTTTCCTCTATAACATGGTTCCTAGCATGCATCCCAGGGGTGGCATTTGAGCAAGACTCTAGTGTATTATTACAAAGTGGAGAGGAAGTAACACACTAACTGGACTCGCTTTTTAAAGCTTCTCAGAGTAAAACCTTGACACAATGCCAGACATCCAGATGAAAACTGAAGAAAAACAAAAACAATCCTCCAGATGTTTTCCCTAAGTAAATGAATAGTGATTACTGTTCTTATTCTTTCTTTTGGGGAATAACTCATGCAGGGTAAGAGGAAAAGGACCAGATGAAATGTCAGTGTCAACAAAGGCCAAGTTGTCCCCTTAACAGGAAGACAATATGGGTGATACTGGGTGACCCGGACAGTGTAAAATAATGAATCACCAAAACCTCACCTTAAAGTATGGTAAATTGCATTTTTAGCCCAAATGTCTTACCTCACTCTACATCCGTACCTTTAACCATTTAACTCATATAACCTTGTATTTCCTCCTACTATAGATAGAGTATACTTCCCTGACTCTTGACTCAGAGCACACCATGTGACTTGCTTTGGCCAAGCAAGGAGACATTAGCAGACATTATTCATGCAGAGGCTTGAAATGTGCTTAGGTAATTGGATTTACCCACTTACACTTTGCCCTGGCCATGAGAGGAACTATCGAGGTAGCTGACTGGTCCAGGGAAGAAGAAAAACTCATGGAACAAACCTCACCCTAACTTGAAGCTTAGAGCCTAAACCAGTCCAGAGCAGTTCGTTTCCAGTCAACTTGCAGATGTGTGAGAGAGAATAAATAATTGTGTTTTAAGCCACTGAGTTTTGGATTGGTTTGTTAAACAGAATTATTATGGAAATAGTTGACCTCTACTGTAAAGCCAAATCAGACTGGAGTTGAGTAGATGTCTGAAAGAATCAACATGAAGAATCAAGTCTCCACAAAGATATAGATCTAAACTTATCTGTCTCTCCAGCTTCACTGCCTAATAAGCTCTATTTAGCTTTTTGAGTCTGTCATAATATCCTACCTCCAGTTTTTGGATATGTCAAGCCCTTCCATACATCAAGGTCAACAAAGCATAAACAAAAAGCATATGCTTAAAAAAAAAAGTATCTCTGAACAACTTACTTCCCATTCCCATCCATTGCTTGAATGTCTTAACATAGCCATTACCTTCTCAGCTAATGGGATACCTTGGTCCTTAAGGTGTGCCTCCAGTGGCACTAAGTGGGAGCTCAAAAATCTATGGGGCAGCAGATCAATAAAAAATATTCTATCGATGACAACACAATTTATGCAATTTCCTGTAAGTTTGAACAGGTTCTAAATGAACATATATGCAACAGCAAGTTTCTTGGTAAAAATACTCAGAAATACAATAAAAACATTTTTTCTAGTAGCATTTTTTATTGAAACAAATATTTGTACATGTTAATGGGATACATATGGATACATACATGATATTTTGTTCCACACAGAGACTGTATAAAGATTAAGTCAGAGTGTTTGGGATGTCCATCACCTTGAGTATTTACCATTTCTTTGTTCTGGGGTCATTTCAGTCCTTTCTTCTAGCTATTTTGAAATATGCAATATATTGTTAACTATAGTCAACCAGCTCTGCTTTTGAACATTAGAATTTATTCCTTCTAACTCTATGTTTGTACCTATTAACCAACCTCTTTTTTATTCCTCCCTGCCTTCCTCTGCCCTTGCCCACACATACCCTTCCAGCCTCTGGTATCTATCATTCTATTCTCTACCTCCATGAAATTAATGTTTTTATCTCCCTCATATGTGAGAACATGTGATGTTTGTTTTTCTGTCCAGGGCTTATTTCACTTAACATAATGACCTCCAGTTCCATCCACGTTGATGCAAATAATATAATTTTTTTTTTTTGTTGTGACCAAATAGTCTTCTATTGTGTATATATACCTTATTTTCTTTATCCATTCATCTATTGATAGATATTTATATTGATTCCATATCTGGGCTATTGTGAATAGTGCTGTGATAAACATGTGAGTGCAGTTACTCCTTTGATATACTGATTTCTTTTCCTTTGGATAAATACCCAGTAGTGGAATTGCTGAGTCATATGTTAGTTCTATTTTTAGTTTTTAAAAAAATCTCCATACTGTTTTCCATAGTAGCTGTACTAATTTACATTTCCACTGACAATGTACAAGAGTTCCCCTTTCTCCACATCCTCACCAGGATCTGTTATTTATTTTGTCTTTTTAATAATAGCCTCTCACAGGACTAAGATAATATCTCATTGTGGTTTTGATTTGCATTTCTCTGATGATTAGTGATGTGAAGCATTTTTTCCTATATCTGTTGGCCATTTGTATGTCTTCTTTTGAGAAATGTCTATTCATGTCCTTTACCCACTTTCTTTCTTTCTTTTTTTTTTTTTTGAGACAGAGTCTCACTCTGTCACCCAGGCTGGAGTGCAATGGTGCGATCTCGGCTCACTGCAACCTCCGCCTCCTGGGTTCAAGCTATTCTCATGTCCCAGCCTCCTGAGTAGCTAGGATTACAGGCACTTGCCACTATCCCCAGCTAATTTTTGCGTTTTTAGTAGAGATGGGGTTTTGCCATGTTGGTCAGTTTGGTCTCGAACTCCTGACCTCAAGTGATCCACCCTCCTCGGCCTCCCAAAGTGCTGGGATTACAGGCTTTACCCACTTTTAATGGGATTTTTTTTTTCTGTTGAATTGTTTGAGTTACTTGTATATTCTGGATATTAGTCCCTTGTTGTACAAAGAGTTTATAGGTATTTTCTACTATTCTGTAGGTTGTCTCTTCACTCTGTTGATTTTTTTCTTTGCTATGCAGAAGATTTTTAATTTATTACAGCCCCATTTGTCTTTTCCTTATTTTTGTTGCCTGTGCTTTTAAGGTCTTAGTCATAAAATCTTTGCCTAGACCAATGTCCTGAAATGTTTCCCTTATGTTTTCTTCTAATGGTTTTATATATTGGTTTTATATTTAAGCCTTTAATCCAAATTGAGTTGATCTTTATGTATGGTGAAAGACAGGGGTCCAACTTTTTTTTCTGCATATGAATGTCCAATTTTCCCAAAACCATTTAATGAAGAGGATGTCCTTTCCTCAAGGTATGCTCCTTTATTGAAAATCATTTGACTGTAAATACATGGATTTAGATTTATTTCTGGACTCTTTATTCTGTTTCATTGATCTCTGTGTCTGTTTTTATACCAATATTATGCTGTTTTGGTTACTTGAGACTTAAAATATATTTTGAAGTCAGACAGTGTGATGACTCAAGTTTTGTTTTGTGTTTGATTGCTTTTGTTATTTGGTTTCTGTTTTGGTTATATATAAATTTTAGGATTTTTTTTTCTGTGAAAAATGACATATTTTGATAAGGATTGCATTGAATTTGTAGATTGCTTTGGGAAGTATGGTCATTTTAATGATATAAATTCTTCTGATCCATAAGTATAGGATGTTTTTCCATTATATCCTCTTTAATTTCTTTCATCCATGTTTTTTCATTTTTCTTATAGATGTCTTTAACCTGCTTGGTTAAATTTATTCCTAGGCATTTTATTTTATTTTATTTTTTAGCTACTGATTTTATAAATTGAATTGCCATCTTGATTTCTTTTATAGCCAGGTCATTATTGGTGTATAGAAACACTACTGATTTTTGTATGTAGATTTTGTATCCTGCCGTGTTACTGAAATTATTAGTTTTAACATTTTTTAGGATTAGTAGATATAAAATCATGTCATCTGCAAAGAGGGACAATTTGACTTCCTTTTCTTCAATTTTAATGCATTTAAAATAATAATAATCATCTGTCCAGGACTTTAAATTGACCAAATTTCTTTTAATGTTCCATAGTGAGGGATAACAGGCAAATTACTAAAAATTAAATAACTAGAGTTTATTAAAATAGAACATTAATTTTTGAATAAGGCCTGAATTCCCATATTTAAGCTTCCTAGTACTATCCATATGTAGAAAATAATATGAATTACATTATATATTATATATATGTTATATATCTCTTCCTTACACCATATACAAAAATTAACTCAAGATGGTTTAAAGACTTAAATGTAAGACCTAACACCGTAAAAACCCTAGAAGAAAACCTAGGCAATACCATTCAGGACATAGGCATGGGCAAAGACTTCATGACTAAAACTCCAAAAGCAATGGCAACAAAAGCCAAAATAGACAAATGAGATCTAGTTAAACTAAAGAGTTTCTGCACAGCAAAAGAAACTATCATCAGAGTGAACAGGCAACTTACAGAATGGGAGAAAATCTTTGCAATCTACCCATCTGGCAAAGGGCTAATATCCAGAATCTACAAAGAACTTAAACAAATTTACAAGAAAACAAACAAACAGCCCCATCAAAAAGTGGGCAAAGGATATGAACAGACACTTCTCAAAAGAAGACATTTATGCAGCCAACAGACGTATGAAAAAAGGCTCATCATCACTGGTCCTTAGAGAAATGCAAATCAGAACCACAGTGAGATACCATCTCACGCCAGTTGGAATGGTGATCATTAAAACGTCAGGAAACAGCGGATGCTGGAGAGGATGTGGAGAAATAGGAACTCTTTTACATTGTTGGTGGGAGTGTAAATTAGTTCAACCATTGTGGAAGACAGTGTGGCGATTCCTCAAGGATCTAGAACTAGAAATACCATTTGACCCAGCGGTCCCATTACTGGGTATATACCCAAAGGATTATAAATCATGCTACTACAAAGACACATGGACACATATATGTATTGCGGCACTATTCACAATAGCAAAGACTTGGAACCAACCCAAATGTCCATCAATGATAGACTGGATTTAAAAAATGTGGCACATATACACCATGGAATTCTATGCAGCCATGAAAAAGGATGAGTTCATGTCCTTTGCAGGGACATGGATGAAGCTGGAAACCATCATTCTAAGCAAACTGTCACAAGGACAGACAACCAAACACTGCATGTTCTCATTCACAGGTGGGAGTTGAACAATGAGAACACATGGACACAGGGCGGGGAACATCACACACCAGGGCCTGTCGGAGGGTGGGGGGCTGAGGGAGGGATGGCAGTAGGAGAAATACCTAATGTAAATTATGAGTTGATGGGTGCAGCAAACCAACATGGCACATGTATACCTATGTAACAAACCTGCACATTGTGCTCATGTACCCTAGAACTTAAAGTATAATTAAGAAAAAAAAAAAAAAGATGTGCTATAAATGTAGAATACATAACAACTTGAAAATTTAGTACAAAAAAATCTAAAATATCTGTGATAACATTTTAAGACAATTACATATTTAAGTGATAATATTTTGGATAGTTTGGGTTAAATAAATTATTAAAATTGAAATAATATGAATTATTAAAAAATTCTAAAGCAACACCCAAACATCCAAAGAAGATATGTTTTTGTCATTTAGACTTCACATCCTTAAGCAGAAAAATGAGCTATAATTTATAACAATTTTGTACAGTTAGGACAAAAAAAGTGAACTTTATATATATATATATATATATCTTTATACTAAAAATTTTCTGTAATGTTATTAACTTGTGGTTTGATTGTAGGGTGGTAATGCTGGGTGTGTGTGTGCACTCATGTGCACAAATAAGGATTAGTATTTGGGGCAAATAAGGATTAGTATTTATTGAGATCTTATTTTTTTGCCAGAAACTTTGCTGAGCAATTTGCAGACATTACCTCATTTGACTCTTACTTTGCAAGATATCAAAAAAAAAAAAGCTTGTCAAAGTATGTAGTAAACATGCTTATTTGTGCATGAGCAGTTTATAAACAGCACTCCAAGACAGTGGGTTTCAGTGGTGACTGCATAGTAGAGCCATTCTGGAGCTTGCAATAATCTCTGTATCCAGGCCCCACCCCAGGATATTTAAATTGGAATGTGCCAGGGAAGAATGCAGACATCAGTATTTTTTAAGCTCCATGCGTAATTCCAATAAGCAGCTAAGTAAATTTGTGAATCAGTGGATTTATAATACCAATGATAAGTTGAGAAGCTGAACACTCAGTGATGTATCTGTTTGGTCTTAAACAGGGCTGCACTTTTTCTACACTGAGAGAGAAATTAGCAACACAGTAGTCATCTGCAACCATGTGAGAGTGGAAAGATCATCTACTGTGCTTGCTTTAAGTAATTCAGACTTAGACTGTTTCCCTCAGGAGATCACTGAGATAAAGATACTTGGACAGATGTTTTTATGATCTCCTGAGAACAGAACAAATCCTGTACCTCTTAAACCCCCTTTCCCAGTTAGCATTTGCCCTAAGTAAGCAGGAGAAATGGTAGTCTGTGTTTTATATTATCTATGTATTAGACAGTGGCATAATGTCGAGGCTGAATCACTTTACCAAAGATGATGTGTAGTTTCAGAGTCAGAACAAATACATTCAAAACATCCAGTCACTACTGCTAAGGTGCTGTTCATCTGCTGAATCATCTGAATGGCTTCCTTGACCATTCTGGGGATCTATTCTTTCTATGAGCAACTCTGGCTTCTGTGTTGCTCCCAGAAGCAGGCATGGATGAAGTCCGCAGTGACCCTGGCCTTCCTGCAGCCTGCAACAGTCATCAATGGAGGAAGGAGAAGGGAAAATATGGAGAACTGGTTGTGGTTAAGTTTATGTGTCAAGTTGACTGGGCCACGGGATGCCCAGACATCTTATTAAACATTATTTCTGGCTGTGTCTGTGTGAGAGTGTTTTCAGAAGAGATTGACATTTGAATTGGTAGGCCCCCAATGTGGGTGGACATCATCTAATTCCTTCAGGATGCAAATAGAATAGAAAGGTAGAAGGTGGAAGAAGAGTGAATTTGTTCTTTCTGCTTGAGATGGGACTTCAATCTTCTCCTTCCCTTAGACTGCTGGTTCTTAGGCTTTTGGCCTTGGACGGAATCTATATCTCCAGCTTTCCTGGACCTCCAGTTTATGGAAGGCAGATCATGAGATTTCTCAGTGTCTGAATTGGAGTGAGTTAATCCTTCATAATAAATCTCTTAGAGTATATCTCTATCCGTATATCCTATTAGTTCTGTTTCTCTGGAGAACCCTGACTAATACACTGGTTTTTAGCATTCACTGCATCACCTTCAGTTGAATGTGTATTTGCTAAGAAATGCTGCTACATAAGGTCCCAAAGTCTGGATTGTGAGGTCATTACTTTTTGGATCCTGAATAATTTATGACACCACAAACAGGTTTTGTTTTGTTTCCATTTTGGTTTGGGGAAAAGCTTGTCAACATAGTGACTAAAAGCATGGGCTGCAGATCTAGACTCTTGAATCCCAATTTTCTCATTTGTAAAATGAAGGCACTTACATGTGTTTCTTATTTAATTGACAAAAATAGTATGTATTTATGGTGTAAAACATGATGTTTGATATATGTGTACATTGCTAATGGCTAAATTGCACTAATTAACATGTTTTTATCTCACATACTTATTTGTTGTGAGAAAATTTAAAATCTGTTTTCATAGCAATTTTAAAGCATGCAATATATTATTATTAACTATAGTCTCTATGATTTAGAGATGTCTTGAACTTATTCTTCCTAGCTAACTTATTCTTGAACTTATTCTTCCTAGCTAACTAAAATGTTGTGTCCTCTGACCAACATCTCCTCAAGCCTCCACCCAATCAATAACCTCTGGTATCCACTATTCTACTATCTGTTTTAGGAGTTAAACTTTTTTAGATTTCACATATATATAAGATCATGAGATATTTGTCTTTCACTGCCTGGCTTATTTCAATAGGCATAACATCATCTGAGTTCATCCACTTTGTCATAAATGATAGAATTTCATTTGGTTTTGAGGCTGAGTAGTATTTCATTGTGTATATATACCACATTTTCATTATTCATTAATCTGTTGATGAATACTTAGGTTGATTCCATATTCTAGCTACAATAAATAATGCTGCAATAAACGTAAGAGTGCAGATATGTCTTTGACAGGCAGATTTTATTTTCTTCAGCTATATGCCCAATAGTAAGATTGCTTGATCAAATGGTGGTTTTATTTGTAATTTTTTTGAGGAATGTCCAACTGTTTTCCATAATGACTATTTTAATTTACATTTCCATCAACAGTGTTCAGTGGTTTCCTTTTTTTCCATATCTTTGTCAACACTTATAATCTCTTGTCTTTTTGACAGTAGCCATTTTAACAGGTATGAAGTACTGTCTCATTGTGATTTTGATTTGCATTTCTCTGATAATTAGTGATGTTGAGCACTTTTTCAAATACCTGTGGCCATTTGCATGTATTCTTCTGGGAAAGACTATTCAGGTCTTTGTTCCAGTTGTAATCCTGTCACACAGGTAGTGAGCATAGTACCCAATAGTTTTTCAATCCTTGCCCCTTGACTTTCCTCCCCCTTCTAGCAGTCCCCATTGTCTATTGTTGCCATTTTTGTGTCCATGAATAGCCAATGCTTAGTTCCCACTTATAAATGATAACATGTGGTATTTGGTTTTCTGTTCCTGCATTAATTTGATTAGGATAATAGCCTTCAGTTGCATCCATGTTGCTTCTAAAGACATGATTTCTTTCTTTTTTATGGTTGCATAGTATTTCATAGTGTACATGTACCATATTTTCTTTATTCAATCAACCGTTGATGAACACCTGGGTTGATTGCATGTGTTTGCTATTATGAATAGTGCTGTAATGAACATATGAGTGCTTGTGTGTTTTTGGTAGAATAATTTATTTTCTTTTGGATATATACCCAGTAATGGGATTGCTTAGTTAAGTGGTAGTTCTATTTCATTGAGAAATCTCCAAACTGCTTTCCACTGTGACTGAACTACTTCACATTCCCACCAGCATTGTATGAGCATTTCCCTTCCATCCAGCCTCACCAGCACCTGTTGTTTTTTGACGTTTTAGTAATAACCATTCTCACTCTTGTGAGATGCTATTTGATTGTGATTTTGATTTGCATTTCTCTGATGATTAGTGATGTTAACCATTTTTTCATATTTGTTGGCTGCTTGTATGTCTTCTTCTGCAAAGGGTCTGCTCATGGCCTTTCCCCACTTTTCAATGAAGTTGTTTGTTTTTTCCTTGTTAATTTGTTTAAGTTCCTTATAGATTCTGGATATTAGACCTTTGTTGGATGCTTAGTTTGCAAATATTTTCTTCTATTCTATAGGTTGTCTCTTTACTTTGTTGAGTTTCTTTTGCTGTGCAGAAGCTCTTTAGTTTAATTTGGTCCCACTTGTCAATTTTTGTTTTTGTTGAAATTGCTTTTGAGAACTTAGTCATAAATTCTTTCCCAAGGCCAATGTCCAGCATGGTGTTTCCTAGGTTTTCTTCTATGATTCTTATAGTTTGAGGTCTTATATTTGAATCTTTATTCCATCTTAAATAAAGTTTCGTATATGGTGAAGTGTAGGGGTTCAGTTTCATTCATCTTCATATGACTAGCCAAATAAGTGTCCCAGCACTGTTTATTGAATAGAAAATCTTTCCCTCATTGCTTATTTTTGTCAATTTTGTTAAAAATCAGTTGGTTCTGGGTGTGTGGCTTTCTTTCTGGGTTCTCTATCCTGTTCTATTTGTTGATGTTTCTATTTTTGTACCATTACCATGCCAGTTTGGTTACTCCAGCATTGTAATATAATTTGAAGCTGGGTAATGGGATGCCTCTGGCTTAGTTTATTTTGCTTAGGATTTCTTTGGCTGTTTGGGCTCTTTTTTGGCTCTTCATGAGTTTTGGAATAGTGTTTCCTAATTCTATGAAGAATGACATTGGTAGTTTGGTAGGAATAGTATTAAATCTGTAGATTGCTGTGGGCAGTATGGCCATTTTAATGATATTGATTCGTTTAATCCATGAATATGGAATGTTTTTTCTTTTATTTGTGTCATCTGTGATTTCCTTTAGCAATTTTTTGTGGTTCTCCTTATGGAGACCTTTCACTTTCTTGGTTAGATGTATTCCTAGTTTTTTTTGTGTGTGTGACTATTGCAAACGAAATTGTGTTCTTGATTTGGCTCTCAGAATGAAAGTTATTGCTGTATGGAAATACTACTGATTTTTGAACATTGATTTTGTATACTGAAACTTTACTGAAGTTGTTTGTAAGTTCCTGGAGCCTTTTGGTGAAGTCTTTAGGGGTTTTCTACTATAGAATCATATCATCAATGAACAGAGATAGTTTGACATCTTTTTTTCCTATTTGGAAGTCTTTTATTTATTTCTGTTGCCTGGCTGCTCTGGGTAGAACTTCTGGTACTACGTTGAATAGGAGTGAAAAGAGTAGGCACCCTTGTCTTGTTTTAGTTCTCAAGAGGAATGCTTCTAGCTTCTGCCTGTTCAGTGTGATGTTAGCTATGGGTTTGTCATAGATGGCTCTTATTACTTGAAGGTATGTCCCTTAGATGCATAATTTGTTGAGGGTTTCGATTGTGAAGGGATGTTGGATTTCATTGAAGGCTTTTACCACATCTATTTAAATAATCAAATGGTTTTTGCTTTTAATTGTGTTTATTTGGTGAATTGCATTTATTGATTTACACACATGCTGAACCAACTGCACATACAGGAATGAAGCCACTTGATTGTAGTGAATCCTTAACTTTTTCAAGTGCTGCTGGATTTGGTTTTATAGTATTTTGTTGATTTTTATACCTATGTTCATCAGGGGGACTTGCCTGTAGTTTTCTTTTTTTTATTGTGTCTTTACCTGGTTTTGGTATCAGGTTGTTGCTGACCTTGTAGAATGAGTTAGGGAGGAGTCATTCATAGCATTAGACAGATTATCAAGGCAGAAAACTAACAAATAAATTCAGGACAAAGCTGAAGGACACATTTGCCAAGTAAAGTGTTCTAATTTGATAGTTTTTTTCTTTAGTGCTTCAAATGTGTTATTTCCTTCTCTCCTGGCTTATGAAATTTATACTTAGAAATCTACTGCTAACCTTATCAGAACTTGCTTATATGTGATATACTTTTTCTCTCTTGCTGCTTTCATGATTCCCTTTTTTTCTTTTTAATTTTTGACAGTTTGCTTGTAATATATCTTGAAATACTCTTGTTTGGACTGAATCTGATTGGAGACTGTTGACCTTTGTGTGCCTGGACATTTATTTATTCTCCCAGATTTTGAAAGTTTTCAGTGGTTATTTATTTAAATAATTTCTCTGTCACTTTGTCTCTTTCCACCCCTATCATTCAAATGTTTGCTCTCTTGATGCTATCCCATACATTTCTCATAATTTCTTCATTCCTTTTAATTTGCTTCTTTATTTTATCTGACTCTATATCTTCAAATAACCTCAAGTCTATAGCTTTTGTTACTCTACTTTATCAATTTAGATGTTGGTGCTATCTATGGCATTTTACAATTTAATTTATTATATTTTCTTATTTATTGTATATCTTATTTTGTTCATTTATTGTTTTCTTGATTTTGTTGAATTTTTCCTTTGTATTTTCTTCAAGTTTGTTGAGCTTCCTTGAAACAATTATTTTGAATTTTTGTCAGGTGGTTCATATATCTTCAGCTCTTTGGGGTCAGAAACTGAGAAATTATTGTGTTCTTTTGGTGGTAATATGTTTCCTTGTTTTTTTGTGTTTCTTGTTACCTTATACTGATATCTGAACATTTGATGCGGCAATTATCTTTTCCTGACTTTACAGGTGAGTTTCAGTGTGGAAAGACTTTTCTCTGAGGAGAAAAGCAGGGTTGCAAAGATGCTGACTGTGTGGAGTGCAACATTTCTGGCACCAGTCAGAATACAGTTAAGTAGTTTCCATGCCATTCTGTTAACTAAGGCCAGTGTTAATAAAGATTTTTAAGGAATTTTGGTGGTCATCAATGTAGATGGCCACAGTGATGGTAAGTGTTGTTGGGGTCTTTGATGACAATGCTCTCTAAATTTCTCCCAATCTCTTTCTCCCACCAGGGAAGTTGTGGTTAAAGGAATCCCCCTTGGGGTTGGATCTCACTTGTGGATCCACTTGCAGTAACAACAGCACCAGTGTTTAATGAGTGGCACTCATGGAGTAGTCACAGGTCCAAGGCCTAAAGCACAAGCACGCATGGAGAGGTCTAAGGTTCTGAGTTCTGGGATGATGATGGCACTGGTGTCTGGGATACAAGCACCCCAGTTTTCCTTGTTGGTAATGGAATGTAAGGCACCTATGCTTATGAGGCAGCCAAGAAGCCATAAAAAGAACACAAGTGTATGCAGAGTTACAGTAGCTTCCGGATCATGGCAGAGCCTAGCTCTCTGTGGCAGCTCAGCTGGTACCTGGGGTGCAAACATGCTTAGAGAAAACTTGGATCTGGGATCCAGAGTGCAAACTAGATTGATACGGTGATGGCCCCAGTTTTTGAGACATGGGAAGGCACAGTGCAGCCAGAAAACCCAGGTATAGAGTGTCAGCACTTGTGGGGTGGGCATGGTTTAGGGATCAGGGCATGTGCAGAGTTGGGAGAAGTGGTGGTTCCAGATCTGAAGCATTTCAACAATGGCTGCTTCTTGAGCCAGGGGAAGTACGTAGCCATGTCTCTCTCTCTCTCTGAGGTTCCCCAGTGAAAATGGCTGTTGATTATCTCACTGGCAAAAGATGCTGATGTCTTCTGCAAAGCAGGCTACTGGGGACCACAGTGGTGTCTGCCACGTAGCTGATACCAATATCCTCCAGCTATCTTCTTTGTTCCCAGCCATCACATTTCATATCTCACTGGTGATCCTTTCTGTGTGAATAATCTCCATTTTTTTGCTTTACTGTGTTGATGTAGATTATTTAATAGGTTCTTAAGCCCTCTCAGGACTGTTTTGGTTTATGAATAATAGTCTATATTTGTTTTTTGTTGGGGGATGAAGGCTCGTATCTCTTACTCCACCATCTCGGTCGAAGTGTATCTATTTTTTGACATATGATTTATGTGAGTACATAGATAAAATGTGTTTATATTAATATCTCCACATATTAAGAATTATGTAACTGTTAACTCTTATTATTTCTGTATTATTTTATCCATGCAATTGTTTATGCACTTCTTTTGCTAAGTTATTTACAAGGTTCTACTATGTGTCTGACACTATATTAAACTCTGATAACACAATAGAGAATAAGATTAATAGCATCCATGAACTCTCAGAGGAAGAGAAAAAAACAGATGTGAAAATTATCTAGCATTGTGTAAGGTGTTTAGTATTCACTATAAGTAAAACGTACTTTGGGGGCCCAGAGAAGGAGTTCCTGCAATCTTCTCAGGTACCTATGAGAACAAACTGATCCTTATCTTACAATTCCCTTACATATATGATGATGGACAATGGTTTATTCTTCAGATTGTTCTCTTAGAACTTAGTCTGGAACAATAAGGTAGAACTGTTTATCTTCTCTTTATTGTGCAAATGATATATGATTCCAGTCATACCCTTTATCTATTTGGCTTAGGAAAATCACTGGCCTCTGGCCTCTTTGGCCATAGGTGTTTTCCACTGTAAAGTGGAAGCAATGTCACTTGCCTAGCAAAGTTGTTGCAAGATTGGTAGCTATCCTATGTAAAATACCTAGGGCTCCTCTTTTTTTTTCAGCTTCCACCAGTTTGAAGTAATCACCCAGAGTCATCTAACCTGGAGCTCACAGTGTCTTTTCTCAGGCAACTGCTACATGGATATTTACAGAGTCAAAAATTCTCAGACCAAGGCCTGCATTGGAAAGGATCTCCTTCTCTCCTCTACTTCCTGTTTTGCTGTCCTTGAGATTATCTTACCTTACTTACACCAGGACCTATAGGTTGAAAATAGTGGTGCATATTTTGTTGGTGCTCTATAACTTGGAAGATTGATTCAATCCCTTCTCTGCTGGAGATTTATAGGATGACTAGGGCAATATATTATCTCTCCATTAACATCACTTCATTGCCATGGACTAGTAGAAAAATCAATTTAAGATAGTCTAGAATTATGTTTTAATGTGTGCTACTATTATATATACAGATCACCATAACTATTTGACTCTTTTATCAAGGCTGAAATGTGAACATTTTTGTCCTTTGTCGTATGTCTACGTATTGATTTCCTTTGCTAGGGTGTTATGTATATAATCCAAAGAAAGAGAAAGTTGAACATAGGCCTACCTCAGCATTTACCAAGGCATTTAAAAAGATTATTTTATTGTTGTCAACTAGAATTAGAAAATTTGTGATTAAATATAAATAAGCACTTGTTAAAAATTAACTATAAGATTATACTAATAAAAAAGTGAAGTTGGGTGCTATGGCTCATACCTGTGATATCACCACTTTGGGATGCTAAAGCAGGACCATAGCTTGAGCCCAGGAACTTGAGACCAGTCTGGACAACATAGCTAAACCCAGTCTCTACGAAAACATTAAAAAAAAAAAAAAAAAAAGCCAAGTACAGTGGTGTCCTAGCTACTTGAGAGGCTAAAGCAGGAGAATCCCTTGAACCCAGGAAATCAATGCTACAGTGAACCATGACCGTGCCTCTGCACACCAGCCTAGGCAACAGAGTAAACCCCATCTCTAATAAATAAATATATAAAATAAAATAATAAAAAGCGAAAAGACAACTCATACAAAGATAAAATACTTGCAACCCATATATTTGCTAAATGTCTAGTATCTACCATCTATAGTATATAAAGAACTCTTACAACTCAAAATAAAAAGACAACCCAATTTAAAAATGAACAAAGGATTTGAATAAATATTTCCGCAAAGAAGATATACAAATGTCCAATAAGCATATTTAAAGGTGCTCAACATCATTAGCCTTCTGGGAAACGCAAATCAAAGCCACAGTTATATACCAACTTATATCTACCAGGATAACTTGAAAATAATACATGTTGGAGAGGATGTGGAGAAATTGGAACCCTCATACATTACTGGTGAGAATGTAAAATGATACAGCTGCTAGGAAAAACAGTTTCCAGTTCTTTAAAAGTTAAACAGTTACTATGTCTTCCCAAAATTTCACTCTTAGGTAGATACTCAAGAGAACTGAAAATACTTATTCACACAAAAACTTAGACATTCATAGCAGCATTATTCATAGTAGCCCAAAGGTGGAAACAACCCAAATCTCCATCAAATGATGAATGGCTAAACAAAATGTGATATATCCATGCAATGGAATATTATTCAGCCATAAGAAGGAATATAACATAATACTGATACATCTACAACATGAATGAATTTCAAAATTAATATGCTATGTGGAAGAAATTATATATGAAAAGTCACATATTGTATGATTGTATTTATATGAAATTTCTAGAATAGACAAATCAATGGAAAGAGAAAGTAGATTAGTATTTTCCAGGGGATGGGGGAGAGGGATGAATGGGGAAGGCTGCCTAAAGTGTGCAGATTTGTGAGGTGATGAAAATATTCTGAAATTAGATAGTAATGTTGGTTACAACCTTGGGAATATATTAAACTATACTGAATTGTACACTTAATAATGGTATGCTGATAGTATATGAATTCTATCTCAATGCTTAAAAATTGCAGGCTCTCTCTAAGGAGTTCTTTGGCTAATGTGCATTATAAATTTCTAAGATACAGATACAGAATTTTATAATTTCCATCTTATTTAACAATAAAATATTTTTCATAGGGTAGCTCTATGGGAACTGCTGTAAGAAATTATTACTCTAGTGAATTCACTCCAAATAAATATTCATGTAAGAGCATTCAGTACCTAGAGTAGATGGTTTGGCTTAAATGATTCATCACTGTTGATTCTAGGTCATTGCCATTTCTCCATTTCATTTTGGCTCTGTTGACAGTATTCTTCATTATATATTAAGACTTTGTTACCTTGCCTTTAGTTGCTCCTGGTGTGAGAAATGTGAATTCAAAAGCCTCTTTTAAAGATAAGGTAATATCCTAAAAGGTGAGCACAAGGTAGCTAAGATGATTCTACTTTAATAGGATATACGGAGCTTTAGATACAGAGAGCATTTTTTTTTTTTATCCAGCTAAAGCTATAATGCACAAAGCATGACATTTTAAGTCCATTAAGTAATTCCAACAAGATTAGTCTTCAGGTTAGCTGCATTTCTCTGTAGACTATTATCACAATGTCATGGAGATATTTATGAAAATGGATCTTATGGGCACATACTGTTACAAACTGTTGTCTATATTACACTAATCAGAACCTCAAGAAAAACCATACATGTTGTCACACTTACAAACAAACAATATTGATGCATGTTTTCTCTTTCCTAATTATAAAATAAATACATGCACCAAGATTAAATAAATGACAGGTAACTAACACACAGTAAACTCAGATTGCAACATTGTTATCTATGATGGCTTTGCAAAATGCAAAAATGTTGAATGACAAAAACAATAGAAGAGAAAGTGAGGAAAAGCAGCAAAAGAAAATATACAAAACGGGAGAAGGAAAGTTGAGGGGAAGAGGAAACAGCAGCACAACAACAAAAACATCAAAGAATTTCTGTTCGGTATTTTTGCTTCATTATATTATGCTGTCATGAGCATTAGTTTGATTATGTGAACAACTCAGATATTTGGGAACCAATATAATTTCTAACTGTGTGTTACTCATTATTTTGTTTTCTATGTGCTAGTAGCCATACTGGTTTTATTTTTAGTAGGTTTGGATTCTAAACATATTGTATAACAGAAAAAAAAATCTTTTTTTTCTGATGGTGTGGAAAGCAAAGCCTGGTATCACATGAACCAGATGTACTAATTTGGATGGAGTACAAGAAAACCTGTGAAGATTAACAGTATATCTTTTTTCTGTGCTCACAAACCATTAAGAAAAAAAAATGAAATAAAATGCGCTACTACTAAATAAGTAATGTATGTATATCTTGCTGACTACATATGTGTGAATGACCAAGGTAATACACGCTTTTTAGTAAAAAGAGACTTACAGCCAAGGATATATGTCGCATCCCAAAGCATGCCTTCCATTTTCCTCAGAATGTAAATTACTCTTAGATAGAAATTAGCTGGTTCATGTAGAGCTACCCTGCCCCTGCCCCCGCCCCCACCAGAACATTCCCTAACAAGCATTATGTAATAATCTAGAAACAAAGGGAATTCTTTTTTTCTGATGTCCTGTCATGACTATTGTTTAAATGTCCATTCAGAAATTAATTTCATGTAGTATTTGTTTTAATGTGTCGTGTTTAATAATGTTCTTCTTGTTATGAGAGTTCAACCATTCATAGCTGTATGTTCTGCTTTCCAACTAGACTATAATTTCTTTGAGAGCAGAGTCCATTTTGCATGTCTCTCTACACATCCACAACACCAAAGAAAAATATAATAAATGCTTTAATTCAGAGAGGCTTTACTCTCAGAGAATGTATAGTAAAATATTGAGGAAGTGTTTGATGATTCCATTATTTAGTAATCAAATATCCAAATAGTTCTTACTAGGTGTCAACCACTGATGTGTTAATATATTTGAAAAATAGACTAATATAATCTTTGTATGAATCCAATTAGATAAGTTCTATTACTAACATTCTTATTTTACAGAAGAAGAAACTGAGGCATGAGGAAGTATTATTGTCAACAGATAACAAATAACAGATCCAGGATTCAGACCCAGGAAATCTGGCTCTAGAATCTGCACTTGTTTCAACCACTACACTCTGCTTTGTCAGATGGCCATGCCCTGATGACTACAACAGTCTTGGTGACTGTCAATGTCTTGTCATATATATTTTACCTATGGAATTGACTGTGAGATGTCTTAGATCAGTCTGTTTCTCATTCAATATGGAACATATTTGCAAAAGCGTTTCAAATGATATCTTACCACCTGTCATGCCAACTTCTTGCCACATATGCCATTGTTACTTTGATTCTGTTAAACTATTACAGTGCAACTTACATCAATACTACCTACCCTCTTCTTTTGAAATTATTGTTTAGTCATTGAAGGTAAACACTCACATTCCTATTTATTTTCCTCTATCTGGCTACATGTACAGCACTGATGCCATTTGACGGAAAACAGAACACCAGGAACTTCTATCTTGGCATCAGTTTTAGGCCCCATAAAAACAAACCTGCATCAGGCTTTCCCTGTCTCTACATTACAGCCAAGATGGGAAATCATCATCATATCCTCAATCTGCTCCCAGAAGCTACTCAGCAGCTCCAGCCAAGCTGTCCTGAAATAGGAGTTCACCCTGAGAATCTGCATCTATTTAAAGCAGTCTTTTAAAGTCTCTTCTACGCTAATAGACAAAGGTCCATTGTAAAGACATTTGCACTTGAAGCGGAGGCACAGCATCCTATGTAAATGCTGCCATCTCATTCTCCTAGGCCTGCCCACCAGCCACAGGACGCCTTTCTCTGCCTCCGATTGCCAGAGCATCTGTATAATGCAAGTAGATTTGATGCGAGCCACAGAAGAAAAGGGCCAGGGGATGGGAAAGCCATTGTGGAGAAAACCTTTTAGTGTGTACTCCCTGTTGAGTGTGGAAGAGAGAAATGATCAAACAAGTCTCTAAGAGAACATGTAAAGGGCAAAGATTGCTATATTGAAATATCTAAGCAACTCTCAATGCAGTGTGGAGAAACAGAAGACTAGCACAATGCCTCATTTATGCAGGCCAGCCTACTTTGTTTAACAGTGTTACATATGCATTTAAGGTCAACCAGTCATTCTGGCCATCATCCCAAAGCATATTTTGAGGAATCATAGAATACATGTGAAGCTCTTGCCCAGGCAAGCCCTGTTTTTGGAAGCCCTTTAAAGCAGCGTGAACACTTTTCAGAAACCTCATGTTGCTTAAAATTCCTAACGACAATTTATCATCTTAACTTGATGTCTCTCTGCTGTACACTACATGCACAGGCCATGAAGTTGAGACTAGATATGACAACACATCCTATTCACTCTACAAATATTTCCTGAGCCCAGACAATGGTTGGTAAGGGAGTAAGTCATAGGCTATGTGGTCAAGAATCATCTGTCACCATCTAGTAAACAAGACAAGAAGCATAAGCAGATAGTCATAATGCAATGTCAAAAATGGTGTCTCTTATAGAAAGATATATTCCCAGAGTGTTATGGACAAATAGAGAAGGAGTGTGCATCTCAGTCTTAGAAGAGGGAGGGAGATGAGGGTGGGCTTTATGAAAGAGTCAAGCAAGATGAATTTACTGTTAGTGGATATATATTTATCATGCATTCCCTGCCTGGAGAAATTATGTTACTAATAGTGTGACATGTTTAACATTGAGCCCTTATTACCTCCCTTGCTTTTCTGATTCTGTGATTGGCAATGCTTTTCTGTCACCAAATCTGGTTGGAACTATTGCCGTCAAAACCTCAGTTATAAAAAGGTTAAAAATGGGCCAACTTTGTGACACCAATTTTCCAATTAGAAATATGCAGGTCACCTCTGTTTATCTTCCCCCTCTGCTCAATACATACTCTGCCTGGCTGTCTCACCTTACTTTTGTTTTTATGTTTATTTCTTTCTGTAAAAACTTTTCTTCCTCCTACCTCTCTCTCCTCTCTCTCTCTTTCTCTGTCACGCCACACACACACACACACACACACACACACACACACACACACACACATATCACATCTGGGTAATTATACCTAAAGCATTTTCTACTCTTTTGAACAGTTGTTAAACATAAAAAGGTAAGTTAGAAAAAAGAGTAAAGTCAATAGGGTTATTTTAATTTGGAAAAAAAAAATAGTTCTGGAGACAGAAATGACAGCTGCATTTGGATTCCAAATCCTAAAAGTTTTTGGCTGTTGTTATAAAAAACCGAAGCTGCGGTTTCCACTGCTGTCCCTGGTGAAATGAAGACATCGACCTGAAACAGAAACCAAGGAAACTAGGGCCAGTCCAGGAAACAGAAGAGAGGTATAGTTCATGATCCAAAAAGCCAATTGCCAGGCATTGTTCACAGTAGTAACCCTTTATGTACATTTCATCCTCACAACTGCCTTATGAGATAAATACTATCATGATCATCTTCATTTTCCAGATGATAAAATGGAGGCATAGAAAGATCAGGACATATGCTTAAGGCCAGGCAGCAAGGAATTGGCAGAGCCAGGACAGATAGGAGCCAGGCAGGCTCTGGGGTCTGAGGAGGTGACTAGAGCACCCAGTGGTCAGTGTGGCAAGTCGTCAAGGGGCACTGACAGGACTTCACACCACAGCTTTTCGTAGGGGACCCCAGAACCTTGGTTCAGGAAGTGAATCTAGATCAGAAATAAAGGAAAAAAAGTATATTCCAATTTCAGGAGTTTCAAAGAATTCTACCAAAGGCTTTTCTCCTCACCGGGGGCCATTTTTGTTACTTGAATCCACTTTATTTTGCTTATGCTATTAGATTTCACCTTACTATTATAATGGTACTACTAGACTTTGACACACACTTCATTGTAAAATCAACTACATAGCAAGTAGGAGGCAAAAAAAGACAGAAAAAGGACAAACTCTGAAGCGGGAGGAATTTGCTGTAATTGCGAACTTAAAAACAGGGATCTTTGGCTGAGCGTGGTGGTTCACACCTGTAATCCCAACACTTTGGGAGGCCAAGGCGGGTGGATCATGAGGTCAGGAGATCGAGACCATCCTGGCTAACATGGTGAAACCCTGTCTCTACTAAAAATACAAAAAATTAGCCGGGCGTGGTGGCGGGCACCTGGAGTCCCAGCTACTCGAGAGACTGAGGCAGGAGAATGGTGTGAACCCTGGAGGCTGAACTTGCAGTGAGCTGAGATCCGGCCACTGCACTCCAGCCTGGGCGACAGAGCGAGACTCCGTCTCAAAAAACAAAACAAAACGAAACACACACACACACACACACACACACACACACACACAAAACAAAACAACAACAACAAAAAACAGGGATCTTTAATCATCTACATTTTTACAGAAACACCCTAACCTGCTTTCTGTAAATTGGCTTAGAGCTCAGAGAGTCAAAGTAATACTTCTGCATATCACCCCATCTTACAGTTTTTATAAAATTTAAAGAGGTTTTTGCTATTTCTTCCTCAAAGTTAGGTGGAGTTATTTCTCAAGATAATTTATTCAATTTTTGGACATTTAGAATAATTAGAAAACTTATGCCTATATTGAATAAACTCTAATAGAGCACTTAGAAGAGCAGCTGATACATTATAAGACTCAATATGTTCACTTTATTTCTATTATTACTAATTATGTACAGTTTTGATTAGATGCCATCATACAAACATACCTTACATTTTCTAGGAAAAAAAATGGTGTATTTCTTAATCTCTTGATTGTTGACACACTCTTACATTAGCCAGCTTTTATACCATAAGGAAAATTATCTGAACAACACACAGAAAAAATTGTTTGCTGTTGAGTGACAGATGCTCCAATAAAGTTTCTTCTAATTAACTAATATCAAAATCCACTCATTCATAAACTGTCATTATCACCAGCAGGACAAATATGTTTCTCAAGCGTAATGTTGACAATATGCCAGTCAATAGTATTGGCATAACATGACCTTACCTTGACCAAACAGCCTCTGCTCAATTCAGAGCAGATGGAACTGGAATTGCACCCATCAGGGCCAATGGGATCCTGGACCAGGATCCAGAGCTATAGAATACAGAACATCCCTCAGGTTTTTTGAGAAGAAAAGAGAATATCTTGCAAAGGAATTTGGCATTCTTCACAAAACAAAGCTACTTGGAGAGGCAAAAGAATGATTGGAGTTGACTGGAGTAGAAATGCAGGATTAATATCTGATGATCCCACAGAAATAACCCAGGAATCTGAATTATTTATCACCATCCCCTCTGCCCCAGCACATCCCCACTGGCTTTGTTATGCAATGATAGTTATTGTGTTGGTTGCTAGAGAATCAGGCAAACAAGCTTCTATTCTTAAAGCTAGTCTGGAAAATATTCATTTCAGTTTAGGGAAGGCCTTTAAATGGCTGTCAGAAATGCGTTTGAAGTGGAACTAAAGGATAAATTGAATAGAGCTTCAGTTTTCACAGTTTCCTATCAGGATGGGGAAAACAAAAGAAAACATTGTTTTCTAGAAAACATTATTTCATTGTCATTGTAATGAGCAATTCTGGCCTTTTTTTTCTGCCTGGGGCCACCTTTTGTCACAGTACATTTTGCATATTAAGTAGGAAAAAACTAACATTAATAACTGTACAAAAGGATATGTTTTTGATAGGAAAGGAGCTTTCATGCTTAGAGTTGATCATGCATTGAAAATGGATATTTAACATTTACATCTAAAACTTTTCTCTTTTAAAAAATCACCTAGTTCCTTATTCTTTTCCCTTACTTCCAAACCGAATTGCAAAGGAATCTATATATATAAGACAGACATGCAGAAGTATAGATCCATTATAATTAGTGGCATTTGGGGAAAGCACACATCACTGTAATAAAACTGAAATGTGCTGGCAAGATCTCACTAAATATTTACCTTGTCTGCCAGAAATGCCACAATTTAGTGATCATTATTTAGGGCCTTTAATTAATGTATTTATTTTAGCATTTGCTGTTTGTTTATTTATTTATTTATTTATTTATTTATTTATTTATTTATTTTGAGATGAAGTGTTGCTCTGTCGTCAGGCTGGAGTGCAGTGGTGTGATCTCAGCTCACTGCAACCTCCGCCTCCAGGTTTCAAATGATTCTCTTGCCTCAGCATCCTGAGTAACTGGGATTACAGGCACCTGCCACCACACCCAGCTAATTTTTGTATTTTTAGTAGAGACAGGGTTTTACCATGTTAGGCAGGCTGGTCTCAAACTCCTGACCTTGTAATCTGCCCAAATCGGCCTCCCAAAGTGCTGGGATTACAGGCATGAGCCACCGCGCCCAGCCACATTTGCTGTTATTAATAATTATAACAAATGCCATTTACTGGGCACTTACTCTGGGTCAGACACCAAGACAGACTTTTCATACCTTTAATAATCATGATATAGTTGACAAAATAGGTACTATTAATCCTCACTTAAGAGTTGAGGAAAATAAAGCTCAGAGAGGTTAAATAAGCAGCATAAGGCCATAGAGCAAGTTAACTTTGGGGCTAGAATCGATACACCTACTTTGGTGTTTCTCTAGCTGATGCCATATCACTGCATCCCCGTCTCTTCTGCCTTCCGAAACAGTCTGGCAATGCTGTGCCTTCTGTGAAGGACGGGAATGTTCTAAAGCTGCACCAGCCAATTTTAGGTACTCATCACGTGTGGCTATTGAGGACTTGAAATGAGGCTAGCGCAACTGAAGAAACAAAGCTTTACTTTTATTTAATTTTAGTTAATTTAGATGTAAATGGACACTCACTTAGCTAGTCAATACTGTATTAGACAGCGTGACTCTAAAACAAAAAAGAATTTGAAATCAGAGGAAACCTACCACAGTCTACTTAACAAAGATGGCACTTGGGCTGAATGATTTTTGATTGGTATTATCTTTTATTCTTTTCTGATGAAATTCACTCATGGTTGGCTGTGAGGCTCAGACAGGAGTGCCTTTCAATTTTGAAGAGTGAGTGTACAGGAGGGTGCCTGCCACTCCCCTAATTCTGCAGTAGACCTGGTTTACTTTGTGGCATTCTCCACCAGTACTCACACTCATTTGTGGAACAATCTTTTCTCCTGTCCACCAAAATATTGTATATACATAAAATTAAATATCCTACTCACACGCACTATTAGTTTTCCAAATACTAAGGAAAGACACATCAGAATTCCTTCTCTAAAAAATTATCATGTTTTCTTTGAAGCATTATTAAATATTATCTACTAATACCAGCTTAACATCAGCATTCAGACTTTAGAACCTCATAATGAGAGTAACACTCATTTATCAATGTCTGCACTCTGTGTCACACTTCCATCTCATTTCATTATCACCGCAGTCCTATCAGGTAAATATTAATATACCCCCATTTTACAAATGAGGTACTTGAATTGTTCCCTTCAAGGTCGTCAGCTCTTTCTACCGCTCTACCCTGTCATTAGCTTTTAAACCTGCCATCGCCTCCTACCTCTGCTGCATATTCATCTTGGTTATGGGGCACATACATAGTACATAAAGAGGAGCAATTAAATAATATCAATACAAAAGAAGCCTTGTAGGAGGCCCTGGTAGAATCCTAATCTTCTCTAGATCAATGTTGGCAGAACAAGAAAAATGTATAAAAGTTAAAACCCAATTGAACTTATTTGGATTAAAAATGAAACCTGATTACGGCTAAAGATAAACTGCTGAGACCACATCTATAACAATAAAATTAGATTAATGAAAAGATGAGATTTGATTAACCACTTAGGATCCTCCATCAAGATTTCATGTGTTAAACTCAATTCTAATACGTAAGAAAAAAAAAAACACCAACCCAGTATAAAATTATGCTCTTAATATGCATCCTTGTAGTACAACTTTTGTTGAATACTCTAGGTGAAACCTAAAGGTCCAGAAAAATGCTTTCTTAAAAGACCTCCAAGAAAAGAAAGAAAACCAAAACAACATCACACCAAACTGCCATATAGTTCACAAATTTATCTATCTGAAGCTGATATTTGAAGTTTGCCAGGGGCAAACTTGCATTTGATTTGGATTGATATCTAAGATTTCCAAGTTCTTTTAAAGAGAAAGATATCAAGAAAATATATCTCCATCTTCAGGATTTCCATGTCTTCATGAGAAAGTTAAGGACAGAAGCAATTAGTTTCTGGGTTTCGTTAAGTGCTAGTAGATCTGAAGATGCTTTTCCATAATTAATGTTTTATTACACAATGTTATTTAATGTGAAGTGTTTGTGTGAAAACCTTTTGTTCTAACTGCCACCCTCTTTCTCCCTAAAAACTGACATGTTTGCAACTATGAACAGGAACTACATTTTAAAAAAATTAACAGACAAATAGAAAGAGATCATTCTGCCTTCATCATCCTTGTGTAATTTTTCCTTATGACATTTTTAAAATGAGTATAACATTTTATTGTTTCTCAGTCTTTTAGATTACATTTCCAAAGTGTAAGACTGCTTCTCTTGACACTAATTTGCTGAATATTGATAGGAAGGCATTTCCAAGTGTTACTGTCCTATTTTCTCTCAATGCTTGTGACATTGATTTCCCTACATACTAACTAATCTTATTTTTCCCCAAAGACTGGATTTAACTACATGGTTTCAGCTAGTCGTTGCTTTGTACCCTTCTTTTTTTTTTTTTTTTTTTTTTTTTTGAGACGGAGTCTCGTTCTGTCGCCCAGGCGGGAGTGCTGTGGCGCGATCTCCGCTCACTGCAAGCTCCGCCTTCCGGGTTTACGCCATTCTCCTGCCTCAGCCTCCCGAGTAGCTGGGACTACGGTGTACCCTTCTACAAATATAAAGGCTCTATCTCTAGGAGTGCTCAGCATCTGTTCAGGGAGCTATTGCAAATGAAGATAAATTGACACCGTGCCTTGGGAACTCTGGTCAGAAATGCAATTTTCAAGAAGGTGGTGACTAGCCTCCAAAAGTATTCATATCAATGAAACATGACAGGTGTCACCAGAAACAGAGATCCCAAGCAACGGGAAATTAGAGCTTCTCATGTCCTTATTCATCTGTGGTTTTCTAATTGCAATTGTTGGCATTAATTGATGCTGGTGCCATTTTTGATCATGTGGGGCTGTCTTGAGTGCTTTGCATTTCCAAAGGTCTTGACATTCTGAGAGCCACAGCATGTTTGAGTCAAATTTGCTTTCAATATGCCATGTTCAAGGATCTTCTTGCTGAAGGCCAGTAGTGAAATCAGCCTGGAAAATCCATCACCCCTTGAAATTATACATGCCACTGAGGACTCCATTCATGGCCTACCTTTCCTATACCTGTAAGAGTTGCAGGGAGTGTAATAATTCACCAGTACGGCTGTGAAGTTGTGTAATCACACATATATTTTTAATAGCAATTTCTCTCCCAAGTGATATTAAAGTACTCTTCTTTAGGTATGCTTCAGGGGGCAATTGCATTTAATAAATGTTTTTATTGGCTTGAATGAGAAAAAAGTATTTGGAGTTGAAAATAAGATTTCTTATTTAAGGGCAGAGTAAGTCTATGGTTTTTTTAGATGCAGCATACAAGTTTGTCATAAAGAAAAAAAGGAAGCCCACCTAGCTTTTTCTATTGGTCTTAGATGTGTTTAAGCAAAGGAATGTATCCTCAAATGTCACTCGCTTTTCAGGAAACATATAAATGCAGATCTCATGAAATATGCAGCTCCACTAACCATGGGTGACCTCCTATTGGGTCTATTGAAGACTTACACAGTTCATAGGACTCGGGGCAGTGGCTTACTTCCTTCTGTCTGAGCCAAGAGCTTATGGATTAACATTGTTTCAGCACTGAATGCTGCATAATGCAAATAAAAAGCTGGGGTCCTGCGTTACAATTGTATATTCCCCTCGCCATTGGCTCTGCATTTCTAATCTGTTATATCTGCCATTTAAGATAATAAAGAATAACAGCTACATCCATCAGTAGCAGTGAAATCAATTACCAATGTATTTTTATTACCATTATGATCATTATATTATTACCAGCATCATTATATAAAATATTACATATCTTTAACATATTTCATTTAGTTTAATTGGATATGTAATTAATACAAACATATCTTGTGACACTTTGAACTCAGCTGAGATTTTACTTGCGTAAACAGTTATGTTAACACAACTTTTAATAGATCTCTATGTCAGAATAACTAGGTGTTTTAGCAAACCTGCTCTTTTAGGACTGTATTAGTCCATTCTTGCACTGCTATAAAGACATACCTGAGACTGGGTCATTTATAAAGAAAAGAGGTTTAATCAGCTCATGGTTCTGCAGGGTGTATGGGCTTCTGCTTCTGGGGAGGCCTCAGGAAACTTACAATCATGGCAGAAGGTGAAAGGGAAGCAAGCACATCTTACAGTGCCAGAGAAGGAGAGAGAGAGAGAGAGAGAGAGAGAGAGAGAGAGAGAGAGAAGCGGCAGGGGCGGGTGTTGGGGGGAGGTGCTACACACTTTCGAACAAGGAGATCTTGTGAGAATTCTATCACAAGAACAGCAATGGGGAAGTCCACCCCCATGATTCAATGACTTCCCACTAGGCCCCATCAACAACACTAGGGATTACAATTCAACATGAGATTAGGGTGGGGACAGAGAGCCAAACCATATCAAGGGCAAAGTATATATTTCATGAATGTATACAGCAACAAAGATTTAGTATACACATAATTTAAGTGTACAAATACAGAATACTGTTCACCTGGAAGAACAGATAGAAATTGTGAATACATAGTTCAGTATTGATATGGTTTGGCTATGTCCCCACCCAAATCTTATCTTTAATTGTAGCTCCCATAATTCCTACATGTCATGGGGAAACCTGTTGGGAGGTAATTGAATCATGGGGATGGGTCTTTTCTGTGCTGTTCTCATGAGAGTGAATATGTCTCACGACATCTGATGGTTTTATAAAAGGGAGTTAGTTCCCTTGCACAAGCTCTCTTGCCTGCCACCATGTAAGATATGACTTTGCTCCTCATTCACCTTTTGCCATGATTATGAGGGTTTCCTAGCTATGTGGAACTGTGAGTCAATTAAACCTCTTTTCTTCATAAATTAGCCGCTCTCGGGTGTGTCTTTATTAGCAGCATGAGAACAGACTAATACAAGTATGAAGCACCAATTCTCTTAGAAAGAATAATCTGGCTGCATGGTATCAATGACACCTCTTTTATAATTAAATCTATAATTTTTTTTGAATACCTTCTAGGTCCCATCCTTCACCACCATGGATGCATTTGTGTCTAATATTAGTGATTGTTTCAACAGAATTTCAGGCCTTTTTTCCTGATCTCTCTTCCTCCCCAGCAGTAGTTGCTCTTGAGGATTTCCTCCATCCTTTTCTTCCTTGAGGAACTGAGCTGGGACTTGTAAATTCTCTCCAGGAATAGGTTTCCAAGAGACAATGGAAAAGCTAAGTGGCACATGTGAAAAAAAATAGTGATAATTTTACAGGTACCATTGATTGGGGGAAATTAGGCTCCCAAAACATTAATGAAATTTAGAATAGAGAATTTGGGAAAATGTAAAATTATGTACCTCTCTAAACTGTTTCCATTGTCCTCTCTGCCCTGAGATAAGGCAAAAATACAGCATACCAAAGTATTTAAGGTATATATTTGTTTCAAAAGTGACCAGGAAGAGAGGAAACTTTCAGGCAGTAAATGCCATCAAAGGAACAACCTCATCACTCGACCCTGTGGAGCCAAATGAGCTTTTGAATGGGGCAGCAAGTGCACACCTGGGTCTACCAGATGTACCTGCCAACCCTTTTCTATTATAATATAGGAAGCCCATACTTTTTGAATGTCCTTGTTTATGCAAGATGTCCTTTTGTAGCATTATGTTTTTACATTTTAAAACATATATGTACAAAAGTGAGTTGTAAAAAGAAGAGGTAAAGATAAATAGAAACTCATCTTTTACTGCTGCAACTAGATGTATCATCTGATGCAACTTTGGGGTACATACATCCCACATACTTTGGAGCATGGATTCCTAAATGTTTTTATGCCATGGCACAACTTTAACTTTGAAGAGTTCTTGTTGTGCTATTACTGTTTTAGTCTGTAGGCAATACTAGATGTACAATGATTGCTGGCACCTGATCTTATGATTGTTTATTTCTTCCAAATGGTTTGGTAGCCCAGGCTCAACCCTGAATCCTTTACTCTCTCCTAGTGATAACAAGACTCTATAATGTAACTTATATAAGAAACACTGTAGTTCTCCCTCTTGCAGAAAGATATAAAACTAAATGGGAGCAGAATACAAAGACTCTGACCTTTGCAGTCTGGAAGGAGCCTCTGGTGACGTACGATGACTCTCAGAGAGTTTCATTTCCCACCCGCTGCAGGATAGATACCCTTAGAGATTTCCTCAACAATACAGGAGTAGCAAAGCCAAAGCAGGTACCAAACTGTACCAATGTATTTTTATTATGATTATCATCATTTTATTATTACCAGCATCATGATATAAAATACTACATATCTTTAACACATTTCATTTAATCAGAAATGTAATTAATGCAAACATAACATATCTTTTGACACTTTGACTCAAACATGCTGTGGCTCTCAGAATGTTAAGCCCTTTGGAAATGCAAGGCACTCAAGACAGACCCACATGATCAAAAATGGCACCAGCATCAATTAATGCCAATAATTGCAATTAGGAAACCACAGGGTAATGTATGAGGGAACTCAGGTGAGTAAACAGAGGCCTCAATTGACTTTGTCAAGACTGAGTAAGAGTGAGCACAAAAAACACATGTGGCATACACATGAAATTCTGGCTGGCCGAGTTAGTGCACAGGAAAAATCAAGTTGTGGTGATAGAATCACAATAGTGACAAGCTGAGGGGGTGATGACTTGGAAGAGACACAAAGGAATTTTCTCTCTTAATAGAACCATTCCATTTATTGATAAGATTGGTGGTTACATGGGTATATGAATTTGTCAAAATGTGTTGGACAGTACACTTAAAATCCACGCATGTTATTTTATGTAAATTATGCCTCAATAAAAAGTTTAGCCAAAGCAAGCAAACAAAACAGGCAAGTAAAGATTGAAAAAAAAAAAAATACAAGATACAGGAATTAGGAAGTAAAAGTGGGTGGATCCAGATGAAATTTTTTAGGTATCATTTTGCTGTGGTAAAATTTGTCCTTTGCTGTCATGAACAAATAGCCTTTGGCTATTTAGAACGAAGGGTTTGGCATTTGGAAGAGACTGTGTTAGCACAGAAGGAAGACTTATTAGGATATTAGTGCTTTTTCAGCATTTTGTGAAATGCTCAATGCTCCAAGATATGTGGGATGTGTGTACCCTTAAGTTGCACAAAATGATGCACCTGGTTGCTGCAGTAAAACTTCCGAGCTTCTATCTTTCTTTATCTTTTATATCATCCTTTTACAATTCAGTTTGGTATTATAATTTTTATGCTTTTAAGTATTTATTATAGTTGTTCTTATTGCAATTGTGAAAATTATTAACTATGAAGAAAACTACTGAAATATGAGTGCAGAAAACAGGTAGTTTTGTTCTATCGAAAAACACATCAGTTGCTTTGTTAGAGCTTCTATCCAGGTAAGCCACTTAGATACTGTATTTGTATATATCAACAAGAATCAATATGACGCAATGAGAAAAGACAGAAAACTAATTAAAAATGTGTGACATTATTGGGCATTTAACAAAAAGAGAAGAAAATATGAAAATGTACTCAACCACGTTAATTATCAGAGAAATATGAATTCAAACCAGAATGTCATGCCACTACATGTGTATCTGAATGACTAAAATAAAAATGACTGACAATACATAGAGCTAATGATGGTGGATACAGAGTAGCTAGAACTCTCACGTGCTGTGGAAGTATAAATTAATGCAACTACTTTTGAAAAGTGACAGCATTACTAATCATGAAAATTATATACTCTGTGATCCAACAATTCAACTTCCAGGTGTATAGCCAAGACAAAGATACAATGTGTTCACTAGCAGACACATACTGGAATTTATATAGTAGAACTATGATAATAGCAAAAAATGAGAAGCAACCTAAATGTCTATTAGAAGTCAAATGAAATGGTGGTTTAGTTATACAATAGAATGGTTCGGAGCAATAACAATGAGCACATGACGTTGACACCTAACCACCTGGATGAATCTCACAATTAGAAAGTTGAGCAAAAGAAGCAAGACACAAAAGAGTATGTTCAGCGTGATTTCATTTAAGTAGAGGTCAAAAACATATTATCTCTGATGACAGAAGTCAGAATATTGATTAATTTGGGGGGTGGATGGTAGGAAAGTGATGGAGAGGGACTTTGGGGATGTTGACAATGTTTTATTTCTTGATCTAGGTAGCAGTCACAAAGGTGTGTTCACTTGCAGAAAATGTATCCGAAAAATTATATTCACACTTAAATTGAGTGTAGTCTATTCATGTATTCAATTAAAAGTCTTACTTAAAAAGAATTACTTTCACTTAAGTTTTGTGGAAAACAACAACCAAGAAAAGAACAAACAGAAAATATGAACATAGATGGTTGCAACACTCAGATTGTTGAGCAAGTATCTGTATCTTCTTACTCCACTTTAAAGCCACTGAAACTGAAAAATAATACATTATGAATAAAATCTGTGTATAAAAGGAGGATGTGAAACCAATAAGAACTCAAAGAAAAGGCTATGGCCCCACCTCAGAATACTGTCAAATGCATATGCAGGTATATATTTTACATTAATATAAAATAATTAAGTGACTTAAAGTACATATGGCACACATCTATTTATATCTCATGCTTTATAAATATACATGTGTATTAACCAATTAGCTACCAGACCAAAAGCAGGGTATAAAATCTTTTCTTGTATTGACAAACAGAAACCTATAACCTCTAGCTTCTCAGAAATACTGACTCTCTAGGTTTCTCACCAATTAGACACTAAACACCTTCATAGATTTCAATTATTCTCTTCTAATGAGGGCGAAGTGGATCTTTGCTTTTGACCTGGAAAATGACTAGGTGTACTAATAGCTCAAAATTACCAGAGCCTTGGCATCTTCCTTTCCTTACACACCAAGTTGACATCTGCTAGCTTTCATATTTCTTAAAATGGTAATCTGTCTCTTGGAAATTTATCCAGAAAAAAAGTTAATAATGACCTAAGACTTTATTAATAAGCATGAAGTACGACAGAATTCTCAATAACATATTTTGTAGCGTAGAGATGGAGAGAAGGCTTCCCTTCTACCTTCTTTGAAGATCCCCTAAAATGAATGACAATATACAAATTAACAGGAAAAAAAACATAACAAATGTATTAGCATGAATATGAACATGGAAGTCACTCAAATATGAGACTCCAAACAGGCCAGATGGTTGGGGCTTAAATATCTTCTTCAAGGAAGAGGGAAATGGGAGCAGCAGTGGAGGGCGTGTTGTAGGCAATTGTTAGAGGGCTAGTAAATAATTTTTAGAGGGAATGAATGGATCCAGAAGACCAACCAATGCTTTGTAAATGATTCTCTTTGGAATTGGAATGGGACTTACAAGTTATGAGAAGGTGAGGAGTGGAACTGCATTGTGAACAAAGGTTGTCTTATTATGCAGATAAAGTGTCCCAGGCGATCTCTCAGAGCTGCCCTCAGAAGAATAGATGGAAAGTCTATCTGGGTGTGGTGACGACTTTTAGTTTTTTCTCTATTCTGTAGTTAACCCTTTTCCTGTTTGCCCTGAGCATACACGCTGGCAGCCTTTGCAGCTGCAGTGTTTATCCCGACTTAACTTTGCCATGAAATATCTCACTTTTATTATTTTAGCATTGCTGTAGTATATTGACTTAAAACAAAAGACATCATCCTATTTATAGCATTCTGGTGTTAGTAGTGGTATTTCCATTTACAAAATATAGTAATTCTTGTTTGCTGAAAATGTCAAATCCTAGAAAATGTAGCATGCCCACATGAGATGTTAACATCGTTCTCCAACAGTTGTTGGCCAAAGATTCATTCGATGGAGCCGATTTTTCTGAAATAGATGATTCTGATGATTCAGATGATGCTGATGTTAGTTCTGTTTAGAAATAACTCCAAGAACAGTTTTCATGTTTTATTTTCACTTTGAAAATCAGTCATATTTGCTTCTGCCTCAAAGAGCGTGTTTATGTAAAATTAAATGAGTACTGGCAGTGAGCTGCACTTTTTTTTTCTAAATGGGAAGAGGGTTAATCTTTCCTGGTTATTTAATGAGATTCCCAGGGAAAGAGTCTTAAGACAATTGCTTTCCTTTTGGGAAGAAATTATCTTGGTCAGGAAATAAAACTCCAGAGAGAATCCCTGTGAATCTCTCTCTGAAAAAGAAAGAGGATTCAGAAAGACAGGGGCTGGTAGACCTTGGTTTTGAGATGAATTTCTGAGTCCTTCCAATTTCTTTTAATTTAAAGTGCTCAGCATACCAATGCACCATACCTTGGAGTATCTTTCTCTCTATGGCATCCCTACCTACAGCTCCTATCCCATGTCCTACAAAAAGCTTTCTCAGAATGTGAATTTCTGAGCATATTTTGTAATGATCATCTGTCTCTCATTTCTGCTTCCCCCATTATCCTAATCTTGCCTCTGCAGCTATTCTCTTTTGTGCAATATAAACTGATGGAAGAGGCTCCTTTCCTAATTTTCCCTAAAACACACTTTAAAAAGTCTGTTCATAACCTTAAACATCCAACTCTTGGCTCTCAGACATTCCCAATTTAGAGTATTTCTCACTGGCAGGTTTTTCTACTAAAGCCTCCGATTCTTCAGCAGTGTGACTTCTCCTACATCTCCCCAAGTTGACTTCATGTCTATCACTCTGGTATTGCTCCAAAACTACTCACTTCCCATAGAGAAAAGTTCAACTTTCCATTTCTCCACCTCTTCCCCCAAAACTTATTTCAGCATTGTCCAGAGAGCTTTATGTAAGAAACTGAATTCACCTTTTAATGTGTTATTAAACTGACAGTTTACTTCCTGAAAGTCTGTTGATAGCTCTGAAAGTTAAACTTCTAATCTAATTAAAACAAAAATAGGGATGACATTATCTTTGCAATTGTTCTATAGTGCCTTAGTCCCATCCATTCTCAGGACTCATTTATTTTCACTAGCTGTTCATAAAGTGGTCGGCTGTCTCTGCTGACCTTCCACATCTCCCATCTCCCTTCTCCTTCTTGCCTGTCTCTCTCTCCACCCACTCCCCATCAAGGAAAGGCCTGACATTTTATTCATTAGTTTAGCTGTTTAGTTGCTTGATCAAAGAGAAATAGAATTTGCATATCTTCCAGACAAAGGTTAAAAGTGTCCTGTACCTGGGCTTCTTCCTGTCTGCGCCCCAGGCTTTACCTGACTGCTCTGCTCATAGGGGAAGGCATGAGAGATGGATGCACCACTGCCCAGTTCTAAACTCTGATGGAAAGGAAACTAGGTGTTGAGTGTCTGATACTAAAGTGATATATCAAAATAATGGATAATCTAAATTCGAAAAATCCAGATATGAAAATGGACTTTGCCAAGTAGGAAATTCTACTTAATTCAGGCGTTTAGATTTAGATTACTCAAAAGGGCATTTCAGATAATAATCATCTTCAGCATTATTAGCTTATCTGGAGACAGAGTGATTTGGGGATAGCACATTAATGGAATGTTTATGGAAATCCCGAAGGGACAGCTGGTCCCAAGAGACTTTCAAATCTTTCAATTATTTTCTCTGAGGTTAAGGCTGTATCACCACTAAGAATTCTTCTCTGAGCAGTAAATCTTTGCATCATACTGGTAATTCATCACCTTTTTCATCTTGGAAGTTCAGAAATTGTTTTCCTTCAGCTTTGTCATCAGTTTCAGTTGCAGTTTTGCTGTTTTGCAATTATATGTTATCATCTGTTCATCATGTCTCCCCATCTTCTGAACTGACTTTCAAGCCCCATACTGAAAGCCATGTGATGTTTTCTGTTCCACTGGAATGCCTTGTTTATGCCCTCCTAGTTCCCTTCAAATAAGGCTGAAAGCAGGGAGCTATAATATCATTGCTCAGAAAACTACCATCACTGATAACCAATCACAATGTTAAAAGCCACATCTTGTGAGCTTCCCCATCTGCCTCACAGCCACACACAAAAAAAGCCTGATGCGCAGAAGCAAAGCAATTACTTAAAATGTAACAAGGTGCATTCCCAAACTAAAATCATGACTCACCCTGCCTAGGCAATATTGATATTTTATATTTTATATATTTGAACTGAGGTTGCAGTTTATTTTCCAAATGCAAACATGTGTTTAATTAGAACAAAATGTGCATCTCTGTAACACTGAATTTTAAGTACCAAGTTCCAAAGTTTATTGATTGATGATTATTGTGGGGAAACATGAGCTCTTATGCATAAATCTTTTGACAGGAGCTGTCTGTCAAAAATAATGATCCTTTTAAAACTCATGAATAAATAATGATGCAGGTCCACTTTACATAAAAATACATACTCATTTACACTCTGTCCACTGAAATGAAATACGGTTATTTAAAATAATGACTCTGTGATGGTGAGTAATGAAACATTATTAATTCAATACACACGGTATTTTATACTCATTCTCAAATTACATGCATCTATTTTCAATATTAACACATTAGGCTGTTTTTTAAAGACCTTTAACAAAACGTCTGGTACAGAAAATCCTTTCATGGATGAGATTGCGAATTTTAATTCTGCCACACTAGGGTCTCATTTTGGTCACAAGCTGGAAAGTAATAACCCGGCTGTCACTGTGGTGATGTTTTATTGTCTGCCCAGACTTAGAGCATCCAGAAGAAACCACCTCCCTTTTCTCCCATAGGAAAAAGCATGAATAGTTGAGAGGGAGAGCCCGAATGCCATTTGCCTTTCTCCATCCTTTCCCATCTGGAATTTGATTCTGTTAATCTGCCTCTTCTCTGTTCTTCTCTTCCTTTATCCCACCCTGATTTTCCATCTGCATGCTGTGTAAAAGGATCATAATATCTGGGACGTCTCTTAGTGCTTTTACCAGTAACTCAGGGGCAGACGATTAGGAAATTAGGACAATCATGTTCCACTTTTTCTATTAGGAGATTTAGTTTCACTCTTTCCTCTTGGATTTTTCAGTTATTTCTTCCAGCTTTCCTTTTTTTCCAGTCATGGTCCAACATCAGAAGTGGAAATTATGGGAAAGGGGATCTGGTCGGGAATGGGTGTGCTCAAGTTTGGAAACGTGGAAAAGAGTTATAACAGCTCAGTTTCATTTTTCTTTATACCTCCAAGCCCCATCATTTACTTTGGAATCCTTAGCTGGTTTTCAAAAGCCTAGGTTTAGGAATTTGAGGAATGCTGACGGCAGTGTCTGTGACCATCTCATAGATGAGGAAATTGAGACACAGTGAAATGATCTGCAGTATACACACATACACGAGGCACTCCCACAGGCAAGCAGATACACATTTTGTTAAAAAACACAATGCACATACAAATGGGCTGCTTTCCAAGACAGGTACTGATGACTTCCTAAGCACTGTTCCTTGATGCCACTGTTCTTGCCATACCAAGACAGGTTCCGCTGCCTCAGCCACATGCCATTTTCCAAAATGGGAAATGCCCACAAGTGAAAATGAAAAGCCTTTGTTCCACATTTGAAATCAACTTGTTTAAGTAACTCAGTGCTGTTCAGCTTATTTAAAGTTCTCACATTCAGAAGATAAAGTATTGACTTTTTTCAAATTAAAATCAATCTGGATTTTAAAATTTTGTGAAACCCTTGTGATAATTTTAGATCTCCTGTCACGTTTCAGTAGAAAGTCTGGACTTTCTGAGGTCACCGTGGCGGCTTTAAAGACAAATAGCAGTGAAATTAATTTTAAATCTTTGGTTAAAGTCAACCACCTCTTAAAACGGATTTGAAAATCTTACCTTAAATGCCTTTCAAATGAATGTTTCATACAGAAGAGTGATTCAAAGTGATTCATAAAAATATACATCTGAAAACTTCATGTTTAAATATGGCTTTCACATAATTACAATGTGTCAACTTAGACATTACACAGACATGGTATGTGGGAAGGGTTAACTTCAACCAGCAAACAATTTTCTTTTTAATAATCTTTCACATGTGACCTCTGAGCTGAGAACGGAAATGATATTGTTTCTATATGTGTCTTTTTTCACTTGCTTATATATCTTATGGGGATGGCTGTTTTTTTAGATATCAGCCAACTGCGTGCTAAAGTTACGCTTTTCTACATTTTATACATGTGATAAATTTTTGTTCCTTTTCAAATTCAAAATTTTTATTTGGAAAAAGGACCTATAGATTTGCATGGGCCTTTGCTAAATTTATTCCCCTAAACTTGAGTTGTTAGATATAGAGAGAATGCAATTTTTATTGCATTTTATTATGTAATATAATGCCTATGAAATTAATTTAAATCAATTAGTAATAACAATTTTTAGTTCATGCTAAGTGCAGTGTTACAGTAGACCAGATAAAAATAAGGAGCATTACAAAAACTAATCACAAACCTAAAAAAACAACATTGCAGGACATCATATTGACAATTTCCCCAAACAGGAAATAGAAATGCTAGGGAAAATGGAACATTATTAATTCAAACATTTTTCTTTAAGAATTTTAGGGATTTCTAAATATGTATGCCATTTTGGGATACTTCTTTTTTATAAATCTGTTTTATTAATAGACATAACTAACTTCTGTTACCGATTTTAGGTTGTCTCCAAAATAATATATTATCAATAGTCACTAAAGAAAAATAAAATAACTTTCAGGCCAAGACCAAGGGTTTGGGGGGCATTCAGCTGGTGAGTGACCACAAGGATTCAGCTGGCCTACCTCCACACTTCTAGTGAAGCATACTTAATCTCTGATGCAAAGGACCACAGCATTAGTATTCTGGAGTCAATCTACTAATTTTTTTGTTTGTGTTTTCAGCCATTTTTACTTCCACATTGTTCATCACACATCTATGCAAAGATGAGAATTATTGAAGTTATATATTCATAGAGATAAGTTAACCTTCTGAAAATTGGCCAGTTAGGTACAGTTAATTTTGTGGAGGCATAGAGGACATAAAAATAAAGTTATCGTTCAAAACAATAACTTATTTATATCTGGATTACACGTGAGATTAAGCAGACAAAATTTGACATTGCAGCTACTCATTTTGCATATAATAAATTATTTACTTAGATGTTTAATTTTATTGTTTTTTATATCTTTGTTTCTTTGTTGATTCATATAGTTGAAACATCTTTTAAGATGAAAATGTGTTAAAGTCTTATGGAGCAAAAACTTTCTGAAAGAGCTAGTGAGAATTGCTTTAGTCCAAAGATGAAGACCTGTGGCTTCTTGTATTCCTTGCTTGGTCATTATTTGTGTGCCTGTCACATCCTGGGTGTCATTATTTAAAAAAAAAAAAAGTTAAAATAATTCAGACACAAAGTAGTACAAGGGTGCATACTGTATGAGTCTATTTATATAAAGTACAAAGGCAATGCTGTTAGAAGTAGGGCAGCAACTATCTTTGGGAGGGTGGGGAATGTGGTGATTGAAAAAGGGTAAGAGGGTTATTGGTTTCTGGAAATAACCTTTCTTTCTTTAATCTGGATGCTGATCACAATACACTTTTTTTTAATGTAGTGAGCTATACACTTTAATCTGATAGTTTTCTGCATGAATATTATATTTCATTAAAAAGTTAGAAAAAAGGAAAGGAGGTTAAAGTAAATTTTTCTAATAGTTTTTTTTTTTTTTTAACCAAATTCTACTATTCTGTGAAAACTGCCTTTTTATAAGAGGATACCCACCATAAGTCAAACACATTTAAGTGACTCAGGGACATCGTTTTGAGCATTTATGAATAGACTGTGCAGTAATAGCTTTCTCATCCTCACTTCTCATTTTCTTCTAATCTGCTGGAGGCTGGAAAAAAGACAAATAATCACATTTATTAATCAAGGGTTTGATAAGCTTGATCATTTGTTACTGTCAAATTTTGTAGTAAAACCCACTAAATATCTGAATGATTGCATTTGGAAGCTTAAAGTTGCCAGAAACCTGAATTTTACCCAAATGAGGCTGCTCTGTACCTAGCTTCAAAGACCTTCACTTCAGAAAGGACATCAGATTTCTTTAGTAGCCCTCCTTTTGTACAGGGAATTTCTTTTTTTTTTTTTGGGCAGTATCCTCAGAAGATTTTGCTGTTGCTATTGCTGTCTCTTCTGAATATTTCCAAAGGTTTTCTAAAACAACTTTGTTGCCAACCTAGATATTCTATTGTGGAGTATTCGTTAACAAGATTATTTATTATTTTTAAAGCTTATATCCATTCCTCTACAATTTGTACACATTGATCCTAAGACTTTCAATTAGAAAAACAGAATAGGTCTACATCAGAGGTTCTCAATGTTGATTTTGCATTAGAGTCATCTAGTGTGTTTGCTTTGTGCAAACACACAGCTCCAAGTATCATCCTGAGAGTTTCAAGAGGTCTGGAGTGGCCTGAGGACCCAGTATTTTTGCAAAGCTCCGATAGGTGACATGGCTACACAGCCAGGTTTGAGAAACATGACTACTTCTTCTCCTCCATGGAAGATGACCATTTTCTTCCCTCTCCTTTCCAAGGCACACAGCTCTGGCTTCTTCAACTGATCTTGGGGTTATTTTACATATCTGTTATTACTCCGCTCACCATCCCTGAACTTAACTTTCTTGATGTGTTGTTTAAATGTGGCCACTGGGTGTGGAACTCAGTGCTGCAGATGTGTTATGACTAGAGTGGATGGAAACTTTTTTCTCCCTCATTATCTAGATTGTAAGCTTCTATTGCTGTAGTCTAGCAATATGTTTGCTTGTTAAATAATCGTATTCTACTGTTGTCTTATGGCAAATGTATGGCTAGTCATAAATCCTAGGGCTTTTTATCTGAATTTTCCTTCCTGCCTTTCTGCCTGACAGCATCGTTTCCTTCCCTCAAGAATCACAGAGTGTTACTTGGGGTTTGGCCCTAGAAATCCACTGGGAAACATGTCAGACACCGTTCCTGCCTTACCAGAGTTGGGATTCAGACAAGCAAAGCCACAATTATACTTTTAGACTAGTTCTGACCTAAGCTGTTCCAGCATAATGAATGATTTATGAATACACCCAACTTGATCCAGAGATGGTTTGGGGCTGTGGACAGGATTCTCGAAGGTGTACAGCTGAAATCATCTTGCTCATCTGGAGTGTAGGAATCTTGCCTGTGTTAATGGGGTAGGTTCTGGTATGTATATTTAACACCACCTGGAAGGGTTCTATAAGTTGGAATGTTACAGGTATAGCAATAGGATTTGATGCGAATGACTGGACTTTGGCTATGTAGTGAGATCTATAACTATTTCATTATATAGTCTTATACTCTCCAATCAGGATTTCAGAGTGGTGGAGGTAACCACTTCTCTTCTGGTTTCTCTGAATCCTCTTTGATTTGCTCCCTTTCCCCCATGACTGTAATGAGGTGTCTGGGATGTGATTCAGCATATATGACTGTTCTCAGTGAGTTGTTATTCATGCAGCTGCTTAAAGAACCATTCTGTAGTACTGGGCCGTGCTTTCCTCCCAAACTCGGCTTGCCTGTTTGCTCAGATAGTGGGAAGAAGCGTGAGCTGCTGCTGCTGCTTTTTCTTTTCAGGTTTTGAAGACCTTGTTTTGTCTGTTCCCTTTGCTGACCCTCTCTGTTGTATGTGTTCCTGCATTTGGGTGGGTTTTAAAAATTCCTATTGGATGCCAAGAGCCATTGTTCAATGGCATCCCAAAGCAAGGCCAACTCATGGAGCTCTGTCTGACATTCTCACGGGGACCTTGTGAAAAATTTCTTGGCAGCGGGAGCCCTGGGGCCTCTCTGCCTAACCCCCTGACAGCCAGTGTTTGGTATGCTATGCGTATATTATCCCTGATACATTTCCTCTTGTTGATTTGGGGCTAGAATTACAAGTCCGTCAAGACCATTTTAAATCTCAGTTCTGTCATCTGTCTCAGCTATAAACAATCTGAAAATTTCATAGTCGTGGCTCCTTCAATATTATATAAATCCTGAATCTAAACACTGACAGATTCAAATTAACATAGAAAACTGAGAACCTTTCAGACACCTTAACTGACTATCAATACACTAAGTAGTTCTATTTTGAAGTGACCATTCAGCTAGTCCATATGTTTTTATTGTTGTTTTTCGCATTTTATATTGTAAAATATAAAATATATAATAAAAGGTGCCCCAAACAAAAACAAACAGCTTCATAAATTATCACAAAGTAAACTGTATAATTTCTACCCTCATCAGGAAATAGAAACTCTTCTTCTGACAGAATTTAGTCATTACTCTTCTTTCTCTCACACCAGATTTTTATGCATGTCACTGTTTTGCTTTATAGTTTTAACCATTACGTACAAGAGTTTAATTTTGCTTGCTTTTTGAAGTCTATGTAAATGAAATCATTATCTTGTCTTCTTAATACTCCTGGTTGGTCTCTTTTGGAAAACAGAAGTTCTTAATTTTCACATAGTTTAATTTATCATTCTTTCTTGTATGTTCCTCTTACATGAGGAATATTCTTTCCCTACTCAGATCATGAATATCACCTCCTATTTTGCCTTTTAGAAACTTTACCTTGTTTCATCTTTCACACATAGTTTCCAATGAATCTGAAATTAATTATCTTTTGCATGGTGTAATGTAGGGGACCAAGATTCATTTTATCACTACCGAGAACCAATATCCCCAGAACTGTCTTTTGGGAAGCTCTGCTTTCTCAATGCTTTGTATTTGCCCTTTGTTGTTAATAAAGCATCCTTGTATGAGGGGATTGCTTTTGAGTTCTCTGATCTGTTATACTAGTCTACTTATCTTTGTACAAGGATTACAGTATCATAGTTACTACAACTTTACAGATTCCATAGTTGAGACAACAAAACTCCCCACCTTTGTCTTCTTCTTCAAGAGCAAGTTGCCTACTCTTGATCATCTGCATCAACATACACATTTTAGAATCAGTTTTTCAAAACAAGAGTGTTTAAAAAAATACAAACATGCAAACAAAATTATGTTGGAATTTTATTTAGTATTGTGTTGAATCAATATGAGGTACATTAATATCTTTAAAATATTGAGTCTTCCAAACCATGAATGTGGCATATCACTTTATTTAGATCATCTTTGATTTCTATTATTAATATCTTATAGTTTTCTATGTTGGAAGTTGCACACAGGTTGTTAAATTTATTTTGAGATATTTGCACACCCTTTTTGGGGTGCAAGTAATATATTTTTCTAAATTTTGTTTCTTTCTTGTATATAGAAATGCAATTGATTTTGCAGCACTTCCCTTACATCTGGAAGCCTTGCAGAATTCAATTCTGAATTCTAATTTTTTTTGCAGATTTTTTTGGGAAAATATGTTCTAATTTTTTTTTATTTTTAACTCATATAACTAATTTATTTTTCTTGATTAACTGACTAGAACTTCCAGTACAATGTTGAATAGAAGTAGTAATAGCAAGAAACATTGGATTGTTCTCAATCTCAAAAAAAAAAAAATCCTCCAACATTTTCACAGTAGGTGTAGTAAACATTTTCACTATAGCCTTGTAGTATAGTTTGAAGTCAAGTAACGTGATGCTTCTGGCTTTGTTCTTTTTGCTTAGGATTGCTTCAGTTATTCAGGTTCTTTTGTGGTTCCATATGAATTTTGGAATAGTTTTTTTTAATTCTGTGAAAAAATGACATTGGTAATTTGATAGGAATTGTTTTGAATCTATAGATTGCTTAAGGTTATATGAACATTTTAATGATATTGAGTCTTCTAATTCATTAACATGGAATGTTTTTCCATATGTTTGTGACATTTATGGCTTATTTCAATCGTGTTTTGTAGTCCTTCCTTTAGGTGATTAGATGTAGGTGATTCCATCTAATCACTTCCCTGATTAGATGTATTCCTAGGTATGTGTGGCTGTTGTAAATGGGATTGCATTCTTCATTTGATTCTCAGTCTAAACATTATTGGTGTATAGCAATGCTACTAATTTTTGTACATTTATTTTGTGTCCTAAAACTTTCCTGAAGTTGTTTATCAGTCTAGGAGTCTTTTGGTGGGTTTCAAGGTATCGAATCATATCATCAGTGAACACAAATAATTAGGCTTTCTCCTCCTATTTGGATGCCTTTTATTTCTCTCTTTTGCCTGATTGCTCTGGGTGGGACTGCCAGTACTGTGTTGAATAGGAGTGGTGAGAGTAGATATTCTTGTCTTGTTCCAGTTCTTAGGGGGGATGCTTCCAAGTTTTGCCCATTCAGTATGATGTTGGCTGAGGGTCTGTCATAGAGGGCTTTTATTATTTTGAGGTATATTCCTTCAATGCCTAGTTTGTTGAGGATTTTTTTTTTTTTATCATGAAGGACTACTGGATTTTCTTGAGGTTTTTTTCAAGCCTCTTAAGATGATCATATGGTTTTTGTTTATCATTCTGTTCACGTAGTGAATCACATTTATTGATCTGCATATATTGAGCCATCCTAGTGTCCCAGGAATAAAGCCCACTTGATTGTGATGAATTATCTTTTTGATGTGCTGCTGGATTTGGTTAGTTAGTATTTTGTTGAGGATTTTTGGGTCTATGTTCATCAGACATGTTGGCCTGTTGTTTTGTTTTCTTGCCTCCTTGCCAGACTTTCATATCAGGATGATACTGATTTTGTAGACTGCCGTAGGGAGGAATCCTTCCTTGATTTTTTGGAATAGTTTCAGTAGGACTGATACCAACTCTTTTTTGTATGTATAGGAGAATTTGGCTGTTTATTCATCTGGTCCACTGATATTTTTGTTGGTAGATTTTTTATTCGTGATTTGGTTTTGTAACTCGTTATTGGTCAGTTTAGAGTTTCAGTTTCTTCCTGGTTTAATCTTGGAAGGTTGTATGTTTCCAGGAATTCATCCATTTACTCTAGACTTTCTAGTTTGGGCCCATAGAGATGTTTATAATAGTCTCTAGAGCCGGGCGCGGTGGCTCACGCCTGTAATCCCAGCACTTTGGGAGGCCGAGGCGGGCGGATCACGAGGTCAGGAGATCGAGACCATGGTGAAACCCCGTCTCTACTAAAAATACAAAAAATTAGCCGGGCGCAGTGGCGGGCGCCTGTAGTCCCAGCTACTCGGGAGGCTGAGGCAGGAGAATGGCGTGAACCCGGAAGGCGGAGCTTGCAGTGAGCGGAGATCGCGCCACAGCACTCCCGCCTGGGCGGCAGAACGAGACTCCGTCTCAAAAAAAAAAAAAAAAAAAAAAAATAGTCTCTAGAGATTCTTTTTTTTTTAAGTTTCTGTGGGATCAGTTGTAATGTCACCTGTCATTTCTGAGTATGCTTCTTTGGATATTTTTTTATTTGTTAATCTAGCTAGGAGCCTACCAAGCTTGTTTATTCTTTCAAATAAACAACCTTTTGTTTCCTTGATACTTTGTATGTTTTTTTGGTGTCAATTTCATTTAGTTTTGCCCTGATTTTAGTTATTTCTTTTCTTATTTTAGCTTTCGGTTTAGTTTGTTCTTGTTTTTCTAGTTTCTTTAGGTGCAATGTTAGGTTGTTAATTTGAGATCTTTCTGTCTTCTTGATATAGATTTTTGGGGCTCTAAACTTTCCTCTTAACATTGTTTTTGCTGCTTTCAGGGGTTTGATATGTTGTGTTTCTAATTTCATTTGTTTCCAAGAATTTTTTTAAATTTTTCCCTTGATTTTATTATTTTCCCAGTTATTAAGGAGGAATTTGTTTAGTTTCCATGATTTGCGTGGTTTTGACAGTATACACTTAGTTTCTATTTTTATTCCACTATGGTTTGAAAAGATGCTTAGGATGATTTTGATTTCTTTGAATTTATTGAGACTTGCTTTATTACCAAGCATGCAGTCAATCTTAGAGTATGTTCCATGCACAGGGGAGAAGAATGCATATTCTGTGGTTGATGGGTGGAGTATTCTGTAGATTTCTATTAGGTCCAATTAGTCAAGCGTCCAATTTAATTCTAGAATTTCTTTGTTAGTTTTCTCTTTCGATGATCTGTCTAATGCTGTCAGTGGGGTGTTGAAGTCCCCCACTATTATTGTGTGGCTGTCTAAGTTTTCTCCTAGTTCTGTAACTAATTGTTTTATGAATCTGGGTATTCCAAAGTTGGGTGTGCATATATTTAGGATAGTTATTTTTGTTGAATTGAACCCTTTTTCATCATGTCATGCCCTTTTTGGTCCTTTTTTGTTGTTGTTAAAGTATATGTTATCTGATATAAGAATAGTGGCCTCTGCTGTTTGTTGTTTTTTATTTGCATGACAGATTGTTCTCCAACCCTAGGCTCACTATAGGTTTTATTACATGTGAGATAGGTCTATTGAAGTCAGCATGAGGTTGGGTCTTTTTTGTTTTAAAATCCAGTTTGCTACTCTATCTTTTAAATGAAGCATTTAGGCTGTTTACTTTCAAGGTTAATATTGATATGTGAGGTTTTGTTCCTGCCATAATGTGGTTAGCTAGTTGCTTTGTAGTCTTGATTGGGTAGTTGCTTTATAGGGTCTATGGGCTTTGTATATAGGTGTGCTTTGTGGTAGCAAGTATCATCCTTTCCTTTCCATGTTTAGAGCTCCTTTGACTATTTCTTGTGGGTCCGGTCTGGTGGTGATGAATTCTCTTAGTGTTTTGTTTGTTTGTTTTGTGATTTTGCCTGGGAAAGATTTTATTTCTCCTTCATTTATGAAGCTCAGTTTGATGGGATATGAAATTCTTGCTTGGCATTTCTTTCAGGAGGCTCAAAATAGGCTCCCAGTCTCTTCTGACTTGTAAGGTTTCTGCTGAGAAGTCCACTGTTAATCTGATAGGATTTCCTTTATAGTTAATTTGGCCCTTTTCTCTAGCTGCTTTTAAGATTTTTCCTTTCACTTTCACCTTGGATAGTCTGATGACTATGTGCCTTTGGGATAATTGTCTTATGTAGTATCTTGCAGGTGTACTCTGAATTTCTTGTATCTGCATGTCAACCTTTCTTTCAAGATTGGAGAAATTTTCCTGAATTATGACCTGAAATATGTTTTCCAATTTACTTAGTTTTTGTTGTTCTCTCTCAGAAATGCCAATACACTGTAGGTTTGGCTGCTTTACATAATCCCACAGTTTCTGAAGCTTTGCTTTTGTCTGACTGGGTTAATTCAAAAAACTGGTCTTCAAGTTCTACAATTCTTTCTTCTGCTTGGTCTTGTCTGTTGTTAAGGCTTCCAACTGTGTTTGAAATCCCTGTCATGAATTTTTCAATTCCAGAATTTCTGTTTGGTTCTTTCTTAATATAGCTATGTTGTCTTTCATATCTTGGATCTTTCCTCTGGATTTTTTGTATTGGATTTCAACTTTCTCTTGGATCTCATTGAGTGTCTTTGCCAACTATATTTTGAATTCTATATCTGTTCATTTCAGACATTTCAATCTGGTTAAGGTCCATTGCTAGGGAGCTAGTGTGATCCTTGTGAAGTGACGAAACACTCAGGCTTTTTGTATTGCTGGTGTTCTTGCACTGATTCTTCCTCATCTGAGGAAGCTGATGCTTCTTTTTGTGAATATGCTATCAGTTGGATAGGACTTTTTGAGTTTTAAATTCTTTTTTTTCCCTTGAGTTTATGACTGTGGTGTATGTTGTGTATGATTGATTGGCTTTGTTTCTGGGTGCTTTCAGAGTGTCAAGGCTCTGTACAGGTTCCTTGGTTGCAGATAAGTTTGTGCAGTGGCTTTTTCAGGTACTGCTTGTTGAAGCAATGCATTTTTTTTTTTTTTTGGTTGTGTAATTCAGGATGCAGTGCAATAGATGGCCCTTAATGTAACCACCATCAGGTAGACTCTCAGCATATGCTTGCCCTCAGTGGGGGCAGAGCTGCTAAAAACCACAGAAAATACCCTCCTCCAGTGTGCCCTTGCTTGCAGTGGGTGTAGAGCCACTGGATAAGTACAAAAAGTCCCTCCTTCCAGCGCATGCTCAACAGTCCCCAGTGGGAATAAACACTGCCATGTCTGCAACAGTGCACTGGGGAGGGGCACAGGAAATAAGAGATGACCCCCTCTTCGTGTCTGTTCCTGGGCTTTGGTGCCAGCAGTTGGCACCGCATCCATGTTTCCTGTGGCCCAGGGGGGCTTTGGTGGGCTGCAGTCCCCCTCCCTTAGGGGAAGTTCACACTAAGGGTTAGATCTCCAAGGGACCCACAACTCCCAGAGGATCCGCTGGTTCCCTGGCCTTGCCAAAGTCAGAGCGGGTTGTGGCACACATCTATGGGCAGCCTGCTGGTGCTATGGCTCAAGAGTAGAAGATACGCAGGGAGGAGAGTGGCACCATGGGTACACAGCCAGTATGCTGCCCATTGTTTCAGTCTGTGTGTGACAGGAGTGTGGCATGGCTATACGAGCTGGTCACCCAGTTCTCTATTCCCGGGAAGATCTCTAATTGCCACCGATAGTGTTGCCCTTGGTTGTGGGGGCACAGGCACTCCTCAAGTAGGCTCTGCACTTAGCAGAGTGTCAGAAGGGTGAGAGAAGCAGAGAAGTGTTTCCACATACATTTTCCACTGGGCTCTGAGCTCCTCAGGGTTCTATCTCAGCAGACTTTTACTGCTTTTTTTCACTGTTTATCCCAGCATCTTTGCATGTGCTCTCTGGTGGGTCCTAGCTCTCCTCCCTCCGTTTTCCACTCAAAACTTAGCAATTCACTAATAACTTTAATCTTCCTTCTGAGGAACTAGTATACAATGTCCCTAGTCAGTCATCTTGAAGAGAAAAAAAAAAAAAGCATAATTGTTTTAAAGCCTGTTTTTGATGACTCTAATATCTGGAGCCCCTGTGGTTGCTCAGTTCCGTTTCTATTTGTCGTTTACTCATCTTGGCTTGTTTTTTTAAAAGTGTGTTGTTACTTTGGTTTGTTGCTAGTCATTGTATTAGCAAAATATTTTGCAGAAATAATTTGAGGCCTAAATGACATTATATTCTACCCTGCTAGGTCCCTCTGATCCCATCAATCCAATTTCAGGAATCAAGATCATTAAATACTATGCTGTGGTCTTCAGTACAACCGTCTACTTGCAATTTACTATAATTCCGAGGATTCTGATGTTTCTGATTCCAATGGCCTGCAAAGGACTTTCATCAGGGCTCCCAGTGTAGCCTTGAAATCCAATCCCTTTCTCACTAGTGAAATGGCCCTTTTAGTGAGGCATTAAAAGCACCATGAAGTCTTTTACGCTCTCAGCTACTACCATTGAAATGAGAAAGTGTACTAAGAGAAAAACAGCTCCAAAATACTCAGTAGTTCTTTATCCTTTTGTTAACTTCCCAGTGCCATCAAAGATATTTAAAAACATATTTTGTCCAGCTTTGATAGCAGTCTTTGGCAGGAGTGTTGGTTGAATTACGTACCCTGCTATTACCAGATATAGAAATCTCCCAATTTATATATTTTTCCTCTATCCACGGGTACAGCTAGAGACATTGTCAACTACTTCCTGAAATCAAGAGATTTATTAATGATTTTCACAAAGACAAGTAAATAATTAGCTTTCACAAAAAAGGGAAAATGATTAAATTCACTAGGCTTTATTTTAGTGATTTTATTCGTTCCATTGATCACAATGTTATAGAGTGTGTGTGTGTGCAGATATATAGTGAAATGGTGCTCTTTCACAGGTTTTTAAGTCGTTATTCATCATGCTATTCACACTTAACCAATTGAAGCTCATTTCCCCTTCAAGTAGTCGTTTTGATAACAAAAATATGCTATGTACCAAATGGCCATCAACAAGGATTCTGCATAATTCATAGGATTCCCTTTTTATGTCACCTTTGTAAACCTTAGTGTTCATATAAGCAGTATTATTAGCTTCTCCTATGAAATTAAACTATAGGAATGTTTTTTAAATGTGTATCTTGGGGAAGCATTATTGAGGAGACAGTATGTGGACACATGTGCTTCCATGAGTTCTGGCTTTTCACTGTCATGGCAAATTAATGGAGAATAGTACTTGTCAATTTACACACCACAGATTATTTTGGGGTGGCTCTGATAAAGAAGTTTAAGTGTCACATGTGATTCATGGGCTATAACAGAGGAATTCTCCACTGTGGTAGGGTCAGTTCAGACAGTGGGATAGTACACCTTGGCAATGGGTATTACGTTAAAACTGACATTGTTTAGAATTGCTGTAGTATATGACTTATAAAAGAAAGACTAACTTGTAGTTCGATTGCTTATTGTAATCTTATTTTAAGCCTTACACAGATAACACACTCTCTTAGTGTCTATATTCAGAAATTTCTCCTGCCTTGAGATAAGGAGCTCAAATCTAAGCTAAAAGCTCATGAGAGGGCAAACTAAAAGTATCTGAAGACTATGGTTGCTATTTTATGATATAATTTTAGTGTTTTAAAAACAAAGAGTAGAATGCATTAAAGCATAATTAATAAGTATTTACATATTTTCCTTTATTACTTATGTGAATACATACTCTGATCTAATAAATCAGAATAAATGACTTGATAAGTCAACAGGAATATGAGTCTTTTCTGATTCATATCACAATGGTAAATGCAAAGAACTCTGTGTTAAGTTTCAAGTGACCATTTAAAAACCCTTAATCTTTGAGCCTCAGTTTCTTCATCTGAAAAAATAATACGTAAGACTTTTTAACTACTTGCCAAAATGGTTATGAGATTAAGAGATATAGCAAGCAAAAGCATTTTGAACCTTGTAAACCTGTGTACAACCTAAGCCCATATTTTGTAATAACAATGAGCAAAGATATAATAAAACACTTTTAATGGGACATTTTTACATGTAAAATGTTACTAGCAGTTTCTGTAAAAGGATTTAGTTTTACATTATTTCCTCAATCTCAGACTATATCTGTTTCTGAGACTATTTTATTTTTATTATTGAACTAAATTTATACAAACAAAAATCCTGCTGTCTACATTCAGCCCTTTAGAAAATAACCTATTGTCAGGCAGAGGCAGGAGAATCGCTTGAGCCCAGGAGGCAGAGGTTGCGGTGAGCCGAGATCGCGCCATTGCACTCCAGCCTGGGCAACAATAAGAGCGAAACTCTGTTTAAAAAAAAAAAAAAAAAAAAGGAAAGAAGAAAGAAAGAAAATAATCTATTGTCATATATTTGTTTAGTATCCTAGCATATACTGAACCAAAAAAAAAATCCCGGTATAGAAAAAACAAGAACACTATCAGTTCCCCCTTTTATTCCTAATTTTATCTAATATACTTTGAGTTAAGTGATACAGATGCAACCATGATTAAGCCTCCAAAATTAGTCCAATTTCATTGGCATCTTTATGTGATTGAACTTTAAATTTTTGACATCTTTTGTTTAATATTTTCATTTAGAAAATAGCTTCATTTTTCATACTGTATATAAAGGTTTTGTTTACATTTATCCATGTAAATTTATTTTTATTCACTTTTTCATGATAAAATAATATTTACTAGAAATATTTGATAAAGAGTATAATAAGTTTAAATTATATAATCAAAGTAAAATTGAAGGGAAGGTAGATAAAACGCATCAAAGTGTTGTCAATTTCTAAATTTTGAAGCACGTATGATGCTGCCACTATGATATAAAAAGGCATTGTTGATTTCTAATAATACACTAGTTCATGGGGTGAAAAAATGGTGTACGAAAAACTTGGAACCAGTCATTTTGAAGAAGACATACGGAAAACATTTTTTTGTACCCAAGACTAAAAAAAAAAAAATGATCCTCATAGTAGTTTTAGGTTATCGCTTTTTTGCAACTAAAGATGTGTGTGTGTGTGTGTGTGTGTGTGTGTGTGTGTGTGTGTGTGTGTGTTTCCCCCGAATACAGTCATTGCAATAGCCAAGGCTTTTATGCTTTTATTTAGGTTCGGTATTATTTTCTTCAATCACTTCTTCACTAGATTTCTTCCAACAATATTCCCCCCCCACCCCCCACCCCCATTGTTAAACCACAGCAACAGATGGATTTTGAGCAATCAAATTTTCTGCTTAAAGTCTAGAGTGGCTTCATATTATGGAACAGAATTTTTCCAATATCTACGGTGTTTGGCAAAGTTTTTGTCCGGCACATTTAGGAAAACTTGTTCAATACTTGGAATCACAGAATTCTTTTAGATCTCTACATTCTTGGTTAACTTGTCAAATAGAGTGTTAACATGTTTTAGTATAGTAGGGAACCAAACTCTTGTTGAAATTAACTCTAAGGGGCACTCTTGATGAAATTGTTTCTATCCGATCCCATATAGAGGTCCTTCATATGAGCAGATGACATAGAAGAGTCTGGCATTTCAAGTAACCACTAATAGTTATTAATATAAAGGAGAGAGAATTCACCTCATAGTTTTAAACTTTACACTTTGGATTCAATGGGAAAAGATGGAATATACAGCCAAATGATTAAGATCAGTGTCATGGATTTCATTTTGCCACTTATATATTCTATATTTTGAATATTCAATAATTTTATAAGCATCTATTTCCCCATCTCTAAACCAAGGTTAAATTAGTTGGACTTTCAAATCACTCAATTCTTTCTTTGAAAAAAAGAGACAAAATACTGGAGAAGGCATAAAGGCCTAGACTTTCCCCCTCATTTGTGTACAGTACTCTCTCTTAGTTGGCTGTGTAAGCCAGAAATCTAAAGGACTTTTGATGACAAAAATGGCTGAAAGCCACATGGTTGTGGAGCCAAATATGCCCTTAGGAGAGATATTTGACTTCTTTCATTTAAGAGAAATGGAGTACATTGAAAAGAAATATGCTAAACAAGAATTTTGAACATTAAGCACTGGCACAAATTCAAAATATTTAAGAATTGGAGACGAAGGCCTTTCCTTTGAAATGTTCTCTATAACTGTTTCTATTTTAACAACAATACTGTGCAATATTAAATGATGTTTAACTGCTATAAAGAATTTTATTTTTGTAAAGAAAGTTGTTTTATTTCTCTCTTCTATTTCAAAACCAAACATCTTGAAAGTGCTGCATATACTTAGTGTCACCACCCCTGCACCTCCCACAGCTCAACTTCCTGCCATGGGGATTTTGTTAATACCACTTCACTGAGACTGCTATTGCCAAGGTCACCAGTGACCTATTTGTTGCCAAATGCAATCGACATATCTCATTCACAGTTTTATTTGACTTCTCTGCAGCACTAATGCTCGCTCTTGAAATGCTCTAATCCCTTAGCTTTCTTGGTACCACCTTCTACACATTTGCAGATTTTTCTTCCACTTTTCTGACCTTTTCAGCCTCTTTTTTGGGTTCCTCTTCTCCCTCCATCCCTTAATAGTCTGTTCAGAGCTGCTTCTTTCTCTTACCAAACACCGTTTTTATAACTCCATCTACTTCTAAGGCTCTATGTGAATTGTTCCCAATTGTACAGCTTTTCACAGGTTTGACACCTGATTTGAGATTCTTATATCTAGCAGTCATCTAGATAGTTCCACTTGGGTCTCCCACCAACACCTGAATTGTAACATTGCCACAATAGAACTCATCAGCTTTTTGCCCAATCTGGGTCATCTTTCTGTGAGCCAACCAAGAACTTGGGTTTCATATTCATCACAGCTGCTTATTCACCAAGGGAATTAATAATTCTATATATTTGCTATACGTATCTAAGTAACCATTTAGTCCTTTTTGTCATTGTTGCCATCATTGCCTCCATTATATCTCAGTTGAATTGCTGTAATTGTTTCCTGTTTTGCCTACCATTGTTCTATTCTCTCTACACCAGTCATTGTGATATTTTTAAAATCCAAACATAATTATATTGATTTTATTTTCAAAGCCCTTTTGGTGATTTCCAATTGCTCTTAGGATAATCTCCAATTTCACAATTAATTTGAATAAGTCTCTGCGTGATCTGCTTTGGACTCTGCCTTGCTTTCTAGCCTCATCTCTCAACACTTTCTCCTCTTTTTGCCCTGCCATTCATCATACTAAGTATCTTTCCTTTTCTGGGACACTCCTGCTCCCTTTGGGCCCTGTACCTTTAACAAAAGGACTTTTCTTCCTAGAACTACCATTTCATTCCCCAGCCTCTCATGTTTGGCTAGTTCTTATAAAGACTTTATGTCTCAAATCAGCAGCACTTGGTGAAGTCTTCCCTAATATTCCACCTGCCGAGCCTGAGTAAAGTGCCCTGCTATGTACCTGCACAGATTTTTAGACTTTCCCTAAATAGCCCTCATTATTCTTTCTCTCTCTCCCAAGGGTACCTAATCTGCACAAAAATAGAGACAGTGTAGATTTTGTATACCCTGGTATCTCACCCTTAGCAGGATGCCTGACACATAGTAGGTGTTCAGCAACTATTTGTTTTGTTTTGTTTTCATATCATTTCATTTGTTCCATTTTTATTTGTTTCATTCCACATAGACTATGTCTTTGCATAAAAGATGATAGAAGCTTCAGTGATCACTGGGGATCTTTGACCCTAAATTATAAGATTTGTTTGTTAGAGCCATGAAAACAATCTTTGAATGCTGAAACATATGAACATGGATACAATGGTTTTCTGTTAATGGACAGGGGCCATTCAGCCTAGCCAAGGCCTAAATTGAGGTCATATATAACATGTGCAAACTGTGATTTTATATAATGATGGTGATGATGATAATGATGGCCATACTAAAATAAATGTCATTATAGCACCAAAGACCAGACATAGGTTATTATTTTCAACCTGGCAATCAGCCATACTCATAATATATTATTTTCAGAATATAGTATCAATAGCATGAGGGTCATTATCCTAATCAAATCATAAATATTCAGAGGCATTTTAAACATCTAGTTTGTGGCTTCCTTAAGCACATTCAAGTCACAGTTCCCCTCTCTGCGGCTTGTTTAGTAGCTAGGAGCTAAGAAGACCAGGAGAAATGAAAGGAAATGAAATTCGTGTCTTCTAATTTTGCTTACAGCATTTCTATTTTCCAAAAGATGAGGGTGAGGTGGGAAGGAATAAGATAATCAATAAATGAGTTTGAGAGACTCTTTTTGGAATTCAATTATGTTTTTCCTGTCCCCCAGAAGGACAATTAATCATGAATAAGTTATAAGTTAGATTTGCCTTTGTGTACAGGCAAACCTGACTCACAAACCAAATACGCATATATCACTTGAGGGTTTTTCTGAAGAAATCCAGTGCCCTCTCTGAGAAATAAAATATAAATTATTGCTCCCTGTCACATTCTTTTATACAATGGAGATTTGAAAGCATCTTATAACATGCACTACCCGAGGATTGTGCTTTTATGAACAGCAAATGTGAAAGAAAATACACAGTGAAAAGCAGGCAAGTTCATGCCAGAACTGAACATAACCCAGTTTTCCCAGGATGCCTGGAAAGGGAGTAATCTATTTATTCTATGATATTAGCAGATTTGCTCATTGAAAGCAAGCTCATTTGACTTAATGTGTGCATGGAAATCTTGATGAGATTGACCTGAGCCTCACTTGCTTGAAATCAAAACCAAGTCCTCACCTTATATCTGTGTATATATATATATATCTTAATATATGTTCTGGGTAGAAAAGTCATCTCTCATAGTCCAAGTGCTATTCCATGTCTGTATTTTAATGTTGGAATTCTTACTTTTTTTTTTAGCTACTCTCAGTGTTAATAGGATATTAAGAGGATTTCAGAAAAGCTGTTATTTTGAAGCAATAGTTTAGTTCAAATGTGGCACCAAATATTTATCTTCTTAGTTAATCAAAGCTATTCATCTTATTGATTGATTAACACATTTCAGGCCATTTAAATATTTATTTTTAAAATGTTCCTCATACTAGGGAATAGTGTGTGCCTCCCAGAGATGGCATAGGTAACTGGGGCATAGAGTTAAGAGGAAGGCTTTCTATAGAAATTTTGTACTTCTGATATTTGAACCATGTGTATATGACCTTCTTAAAAGAAACATTACATGATTTTTAAAGATGCAACACATTTTTCTTGATATAAATTATGCATATGTCCTGATGGTCAAAATTACTTTCCAAGTGGAGGAGGTCATTGACAATATAAAATTGTGAAGAATTTAGATTCATTTCCTCTTACTTATAAGCCTATAAATAAAGTAGACCATAGAAGTAGTTTTTGTGACATCAAAAGTAAAGATGTTTGGATCAGATTAAAATGTGTGGTTTCATTGGGAGAGGAAAATGACTCTATAATCTTGAGCCCAGAATCTTAGGAAGTTGTGGGGATTATCGTACATAATCCACAAGATTGAGATAAAAGGATGGAGGTACTCCTCCAGGACACATTCCAGAGAATTTCCAGGGTGCTCCTTGGCCTGCAGGTCTCCTACACACGGTCTGCATTAGCGATCCAGGGCCTGGAAGCCATAAAGAATAGTAACATATACAGGAAATGGTTGTAAAGAGATAAGCAAGAATGCTTAACAAAAGAAAAATCAAATGCCCTTGTTCATTATAATCATTTGGGGAAGGAAAAGGGAGAAGAAAAATGGAAACTGGCTCCTATAAATGAGACGCTTACCATATGGGGACTGAATATGCATTTTCATGCTTTAGTTGACATGATTAGGGATGTTTGTGTACTCCTGGACCCCTCGTTAGATAATTATCGTTTACAAGTTTGTATGAGGAGTATGTGTGTGTGGCCTTTTCTGTCTGGATTGTAGGCTTTTGAAAAGGAGGTACAATGACTTTTGTTTGGTAGGCACCGGATTAAGAGTATGCACTTAAGATCAAATCCTTGCTTCACCACATACAAGGAGTATATTTAGGGCAAGGTAAGTAACCTCTCAGACCATCAGTTTCCTCTTCTGTAAAATTAGATAATAATACTGTGTACCCCAGAGAGTAATTTTGAGGATTAAATAAGTGAATATTTTTAAAGCACTTAGAACAGTGATTGGCACATAGTAAAGTGCTGGATCAAGGTTCGACAAAGAAAAATACATGTAAGTAATATAGTAGAAGTTGGCTTAAGTAAACTCCACTCAATTAATTAATGTCCCATTGGCTCTAAAAAGCATTAGTCAATGCTTTAAGACCCTGAATACTCATGTTTATTAGGTCATTCTTTTGTTTACCACTGCTCTCACCAGTAGAATTGTTTGCTTATCGAGACTTCGTTATGTTTATTCCCTGTTCTATATATGACAGTTACTTTTGTTTTGTTATTACATAACTGAATCATATAAGTAAGCCTATTAAATATGCACTCAAAAGACAGTTGTTTGTATGAGAACTAGGTCAAAGGCTTTGGAGAAACTTGATAAAGATAAGTTGTTGCTGTTGTTGTTGTTGTTTTTAAATGCCTTGGATTAGGTGTTACTGAAGCAATGAACAGATTGAGGAAAAACCAGAAATTATTTTTCAGATGTCTATAAATTCTGGCCCCACTAAATAGAAACTGGAACTGGAAATTGTGGACAATGTACTACAGAGGTGGCTTGTATAAGCAAGACAACATAGAATTCTAAGGGAATGATTCATACTCAATAGCAAGGCTTGTTTTATAGCAAAAGTTCGGCAAAATAATAGACTTTTATATTTTTAAGCTAAAGGAAAACATATTTAATTATTATGAATTATTTTAAATGGCTATTTAAATAAATAAAAATTTTAATGCCAAGTAAGAGGGTTTCTGTCATACTAAAGACTACTTGAAATAGCTTTGGAATGAATACCTGCCTTAGGTTTGAATCCAGGCTCTGCCACTTTACTTGCTATGGGACCTTGGGAAAATAGCTTATTTAACTTCTCTAGTAATCAGGTTTTCTACTACCAAAAATAAGGTATTGATAGTACCTGTGAGGTCATTAGGAGGATGCAATGCATCAAAAGAAAGCACGGAGCACAATGTCTGGCATGGTAAATATTGTCACTCTTATTACTATGCTTTTCTGAATTCCATTCATTACTTAATTTAGTGTCTTATGCATACTTTTTATGCATGTTCATAATGTTTAGGTAATGATAATGATTAAATTATTCAGCAAATAATTATTGGGCATACTATTTATCAAACACTAAGATATGGTAGGAACAGAGTCATGAATTAAGACATAATTTTCTGCCCCCTTTGAGAAGCTTTTGCATTATCCAGAAGTTAGATTAGAAATCTCAATGAACCTAACCATTATTGATCTTGTCTTGTGGCCAAACACTAAATATATACATATATATATTTCTTATATATGTTTATATTTAATACATATTTTATATATATATTTATATTTAATACATATATTTTATATATATATTTAATACATATATTTAATATATGTATTTATATTTAATATATATTTTATATTTATATTTATATTTAATATATATATTTTATATATATTTATATTTAATATATATATTTAATATATATATTTATATTTAATATATATTTATATTTAATATATATATTTAATATATATTTATATTTAATATATATTTAATACATATATTTATATTTAATATAGATATTTAATACACATATTTATATTTAATATATATTTAATACACATATTTATATTTAATATATATTTAATACACATATTTATATTTAATATATATTTAATACACATATTTATATTTAATATATATTTAATACATATATTTATATTTAATATATATTTAAGACATATATTTATATTTAATACATATAGTTATATTTAATATATATTTAATATATAGTTATATTTCATATATATTTAATATATAGTTATATTTAATATATATTTAATATATAGTTATATTTAATATATATTTAATATATAGTTATATTTAATATATATTTAATATATAGTTATATTTAATATATATTTAATATATAGTTATATTTAATATATATTTAATATATAGTTATATTTAATATATATTTAATATATAGTTATATTTAATATATATTTAATATATAGTTATATTTAATATATATTTTTAATATATATATTTATATTTAATATATATTTTTAATATATATATTTTATATATATTTTTAATATATATATTTTATATATATTTTTAATATATATATTTTATATATATTTTTAATATATATATTTTATATATATTTATATTATATATATTTTTAATATATATATTTTATATATATTTATATTATATATATTTTTAATATATATATTTTATATATATTCATATTTAATATATATTTTATATATATTTATATTTAATATACTATATTTAATACATATATTTATATTCTATATATATAATACATATATTTATATTTAATATATATTTAATACATATATTCATATTTAATATATATTTAATACATATATTTATATTTAATATATATATTTAATACATATATTTATATTTTATATATATTTATATTTAATATATATATTTAATATATATATATTTTATATATATTTAATATATATTTATATTTTATATATCTTTTATATATTTAACATATATATTTTATATATATTTAATATATATTTATATTTTATATATTTTATATATATAATATATATTTAATATATGTATTTATATTTAATATATTTAAAATATATTTAATATATATTTATATTTAATATATTTAAAATATATTTAATATATATTTATATTTTATATATTTAAAATATATTTAATATATATTTATATTTTATATATTTAATATATATTTAATATATATTTATATTTTATATATTTAATATATATTTTATATATATTTATATTTAATATATATTTTATATTTATATAAATATTTATATATTATAAATATATTTATATTTAATATATTATATATACATTTAATATATTATTTATATTTATATATTAAATGCAATATTATATATAAATATATATAATAAGTGCAATATTAATAATGATGGATAAGGATCTAGCTGTTAGAGTTGCAGGTTTTGGGAAATGTTCACTCATCCTGTTGCTCAATAAACATTTATTTATCAGGAAAATAGAGTCAAGGTAGGCAATAACAGCATGCAAAGTAACAACTATAGAAAAATAAAATATAAGGGAACATCAAAAAGGGAGAGAAATGACAGCAAATTCATGTGGACATGCAACATATTTATAAATATTTCTAAAATACTTTACCCATATATAAATCTAAAGAGCCTGCCCATAAAACCACACATGATGTCAAGAAGGATAAGCTTCTACAAGTTGATGAAAATATGTGCTGTGGGTATAAGCATGGATGTCAAGAACGAGACTGAAATCCTAACTACCACTTATTAGCTGTTTGACGCTGAGAAAATTATAAAAACTTTTTTTGTGTGAAGGTTTTGTGGAGTGACAGACACAAGTTTAAAATAACCTGCAATCCAGTATTAAAATAGTAAGCTGCCTAGAACAGTGCCTGGCAGGGTAATGCCTCAGAAGGTGGCTGTTATTATGACAGGTAAGAATTAACACTGCACTCAAGTTGCATGGAAAGTGCCAGAATGTGTCTTCCAGACCACAGGCAGCACAGACACTTCTCGAGAACCCTTGCCTCGACTTTCATGGAGTTTGTGGCTTCGCTCTGTGCTATGCTCCTAGGTTGACTCACTGAGACAGCTGTTTTGTTTTTTTGTTTGTTTAATCTGGTCTACATTTTAATCAAAGAATGTCTGTATGATGTATGGTTCAAGAGGTTAAACTCACTTAAAGACATTAATCCTGTATTTCCAAAGAAAGTCTTTTGCTGTTTTTGTAGTTTACATATTTGTTTATTCGGTTTTGTTCAGTTCTGAGGATATGGGGTGACTCCTGATACTGGATTGCAGGTTATTTTAAACTTGTGTCTGTCACTCCACAAAACCTACACACACACACACAAAAAAGTTACACAGACCTTCCATAACATAGCCAACTCCTTTGAACACCTCCTAGATAATAATCTAGAACATTTGATGATTATTGAGAATTTTTGAGCTAAAATTTTTTCTCTGTGGATTAGCTATGTATTCCAACACCAACTCTAGATACCTTGTTTTACCAACAAAGTCCATGTCTAATAAATATTTGTTAATTGATTTATTTTGCTGAGTGATTGCACTGTGAGGCCTCATGCAATGTCCTTATGCACAGCTGTGTAAACTCTACTGAATAAAACTAAAGCTTGCCACATTCCAGGAGTAATAAGGAGCAAGTAAGCCAAGGACCCCATCCCTAACATGTCATCCCCCAAACAGTCGTAACATCTTACTAACATAAAAGAAGCTTCAGGAGAATAAGAGCAATATGACAAAAAAGCAAAATCACTTACTCAAAGGATTAAAAGAAATGGAATAGTAAAGTATGAAAAAGTATGTGTCTATTAATAAGGGGAGGAGAGAAAGAGCTAGAGAGATCATTTTCAAAATGCAAGTTAAAATTAAACGCAATTTCATAAAGTCCCCATGGTTTCAGCTCTGCCAGTGTAAAATTTCAAATCAACATGCTAGGAGGCTGATGCACTTAAATTAGATCCCTAGATATGCTTCTGGGTTTAACAAGCGACCTTACTCCTTTACACACACACACTGGGAGAAGAAGGAATTGCTCTGCAGCAGCTAGCGTATGACAACTTTTAACTATCTCCTATGTCCTTTAGGGAGAAGGAGGAATTGCTCTGCAGCAGCTAATGTATGACAACTTTAACTATATGTTCTATGATCTGTACAACACAATCATAACTGGAGGAAAACTGAAAATCACATCTTATCATATTAACCTCTGGTCATACTTGCTCCACGAAACAATTTTGGAAAAATTAGCTTGCATGTTAGAGTTCTCAGAAAATCAGCTGGTTTTCATTTCTGACATGGAGATGATTAGTTCTATAGAAAAATGGGTTGATTGGTTTTCCCACCTTCTTTCAATCCTAAGCACTTTCCAATTTAGGTCTAAACTCATTCTTTGTACTTATGTAACAGAAGCAGAAATGGCATTATATATGCTCTTTCTTGCCTAAGCCCAAATAAGCAAGATGAAGTGACAGAAAAAGGAAGACACCGAAACTCGTTCCTGGGCTTGCTAAAATGCTATTTCCTGCAGAGGATTTTGCATGGGGGTTCCCAAAAGGCTCTTTACTTCTCTGTCCCATTATCTAGCTCTTTGATTGCTTCCTTCAATTAGTGTCCAGCCAGCGCCTTCCAACTTTGTCTCTTACCTAGAGGGAGAAAGAAATTAACTTGCAAAGGAAAGGTAAAGAGGAAGAGATGGAAAACAGGGAAGCAGTTCTGAATGCCATATTTTCATAGGAGCTGTCCAGAGCAAAAAAGTAGGTCTTGCTATCGTCAGTGATAAAAGAAACCCCATTCCCTGTGACTGTCAAGAGGCTTTGGCCTTGCTTTACAGAAATCACATTCTGGATGATTTTACAAAGCTTGAAGTGTGTCATTGAGGAGGAATACACCTTTGAGTTCAGAAGGAATTCCTCCTCTTCCCCTCTTGAGCTTAACTCAGCACAAAGGAAAAAGCTGATATTCTGGATTTCAGTTCTCACTCTGTTCCACTCTCACCTTACATGTACTTAATTTACAGTGGACTGGACTCCCGTGTCCCGAGGGAAGCACAGAGGGTGTTTTGTTTTGGGTTTTGCTTTTGTTTCTACTTTGTCTATTACTACTTCCCTGTTCCTCAGCCCATATAGAAGCAGATCTGAGAACCAGGATTTTAGTTGAGTCATTCAAAGACTTGAGCAGAAAAATATTTTAGCTGCAAAACTTAGATTGAAAAGTTTGCACTTTTTTTTTTTTCGGTACATGGTGACTGAAGTGAATACACAGCTGAAGCAAAAAAGTTTCTTCCTTCAAACACACAAAAGCACAGATACACATGCACATACAAGTGCAGTGGAATATCTGTCCCAGTTCCCGTATGCCTTATTTCCTTATTTCCTTTCTAAATTCCTGATTTTGTGTATGGTATGCTCCCATTTTTAATCTTGCCTCACTTTTGTAGACTCCTGAGTGTGCTTGATGAACTACGCTTTCTACCCACCATCCAGCTGACAGCTCTCACATGCTGGAGCTAAAGGGACTGTTTTCTGGAGAATAAAGTAGAAATACGCTAAGGAGTCCTTGTGGTTTGAATGGAAATTCCCATATGCGCCTTTAACATCCTGAGGACAATTAATTAGTTATAATGGGATAATTTAAGCAATTAAGTTTTTAACATGTATTATATTATTTCAAAACATGGAGAAAGATGGCCCTGTCAACATAAGAAGTCTGGAACATATCATGTACTTCTGTCTCTTCCAATGAGAAATTTGTAGAGAGGTCATTAGAAAAAGAAACAAGATACTCTCATAGTGATTCATTAATTTATTCACCACACAATGATTCTTTTAACAACTTCCTTCTTTTACTTATATGTAAGGCAGCACGCTAGTTAAGACCAGGACTAAGGTGAGTAGTATAAGACATTCACCACAGAGCAAAGTTGAAAGGGACATCAAAAAATTCAGTAATCAAGATAAATAATATTCCAATGCAATATTTAAAAAATAATGCAAAAGAATCCATGATTAACAAAATATCCACATTATACCTAAAACCAGGGTATGGCAAGGCCAGAATTGAAGTGACATAAATGAGATGAATTCATGCAGGCACAGAGTCAGATCTTGTCCTCACCCAAAACATGGATATTTTGTTCAGCATGAATTTATTTCATTACTTTTATTTTTGAAAATATTGTATCAAAATATTCTTTAGCTTGATTTCTGAAATTTTGGTGCCCCTTCAATTTTGCTCTCAAAGTAAATACCTCAATTACTTCATTCTAGTGTGGCATACCCTTTTAATCACCTCTTTCTAAATTCTACACCCCAGGATCAATGGTAAGAAGTGAGTTTCCCCACTGTAAAGCACTGCTGGTTACCAGGAATGTAACAGTGAAGGGGATTCACATCCTCTGATTTTCATTCTTAACAGCATTTTTTTTTTCTGAATTCTTTAGGCAATATTCAATTGTAACAAAAGACTATTTCTATAATAAAGCAACTTCTCTGTCCTCAATTGAAGAGGAAAGTTCTGATTCTCATGTATGGGCTTATTATAGCCTTAAATATATTCACATCCTTCACAACATGTATCTTCATTTTGAGTTAGAAAAATGTTTGCCGTACTCAGAGTTTCTCTCTAGTTCTTATACAAAGGACATTAGGACACCTTGTTTACAAACTTACATCTTCATACGCTAAACATGTGCTTTCAGTTGGGCAACCTGCAGTGGCCAGGAGCAGAATGATGCTGATTGGTGTTCAGTGCATGCTCTGCATTTGGTATTTGTCGCTCTAGAGTTCCCACGCCTCTCCAACAGAGTTTCCTCTGGGCAAGTGAAGAACCACATAAACTCTACCATGGAATAATGTACTAATTTCAAAATATAGCTTTAAGGAGCTCTGCTACTACAAGTTGGGCGGTATTGAATTGCCACCTAATCCTGCTTGGCCTTGGTTATTACAGTCCCAAAATGAAGGTATTATAATAAGTAAATGCACAGGAACTGTCCAGCTTTACCATTCTGCTTGTAATATGGGATCTTGCAGGTGTTCCACTATTTATGGAACAAATTTTACATAGGTCTGACTAATCATACTTGGGAAAAAGTCTTGTAAAGTGTGGGCTATTAACTAAGCACATTATGTTTAAATAAGAGTTTTGCCTAGCAAATTAAGGCTGCTGCTATTTTAAAAACTACTACCTTGATGTCAGAGAAAACTCAACCAAAGCCAGATAAGTCTGTTGATCGAGGCACATATTGAACATCAGTGCCTCTCCTTCAATTTAGAAGGATAGAAAAACAACCTGGAAAATGCCCCATTAGTAAATAGAGCCTTTGCGTTTCCTCCTTTTTTTCAAATTGTTTTTGCTAATACTATCAACTTAATGAAACTTACTGTTAGAATTTCTCCCGTTTCTAGCACTTGTGATCTTATGATTCTGCAAAGGGTAATGAAACTTCAAAAGTAAAAAGCCACTGAATTTTAAGTCATTTAATTTAAGACTTAATTTCTTGCTAATTTATTTTTGTCAAAATTAAAACCGTCTGGGTGTGCACTAGGATGAATTAGGTACTTGTGACTATTTGAATGCAGGCTTTTGTAAATAAGGAACTCTTCTCAAGTGGTGAGTGAGTTTTGCTTGCATACATATAATGCAAACCCATTATCAGGGCTCTATTATTTGTCTCAGAAGACAGCATTTTCCCTTTCCTTATAGTTAAAACAATGATACATATGGCACCATATTAAAACTTAAATAAAGTGGAAGCCAGTGGAGTATGATCTCTAGAAGTACTCATTTGGAAGTAGGAGATCCAGATGCTTCATAGTCAGCACCAGGAGCAATGACTCCAGGGACCTGGTATACTTCTCAGGGTACAGCAGTCCCTGTGTGTTTAATCTTTCCTTACTTAACTCGGACTCTCCTAGTCCTGTGAAGGGAAGGCTGTCAATGAGCAGAGAAAGGACCGGTAGGCATGCATAAAAAAATCCTTACATTCCTGAGCAGAGCATGATTTCTCTTCTACCTGGGTTATGTGGCTGTATGCAGAGGGAAACAAATACAAGTACAGGTATAGCGATGTCTAAAATGGGTTATTCTTTTAAATGTTTGTAGGAGCTCTTAAAAACACTGTTGGTTTTGCATTACAGTTTAAAGGGAAGGTGGCAATCGATAAAATCTGTCACGTTAAATGCTGGAAACTAGAAGATATGCTTGGTAATTTCCTGGAATTTACTTTTCTAAAAACGGTTCCAAGGAATAAACCTTCCCTAAGCTGATCTCCTTCCTCTGTTGTTGGTGAAAGAATATTCAGTTAGGAAAGATCATCCTAATTTGGCATAAGCAAGGTCACTGGCTTGACTTTACTGCCTGAAACCTACAAGCAAGTGGAACTTTGCTAATTTCAGTTGCATACAGTGATGCTACTGTGTCAGGTACAAGATGATTCTTCCCTTCTCCTTTCCCTTAGTACTTTAATGGAAACAGCAACATCTTCTAAGAAAAGGTTTGATTTTTTTCAATCTACTATTCAGACAACAAAAATAGAAACCATGCTATTAAAAAACATCAATGACTAAAAAGTAATAGAACAACCACCATATCTACCACCTGAATTGTCTGTCTTTCAGAGCTCTGCTGAAGCTCATGTTCTGGGCTATTTTAATCAAAGGCCAATCACCTTTCCAAAGTCTAAGAATACAAGGTGATTAGAAGGCTTCTCATTTGACAAAGAAAATTTAAGTATGAAGGAAATTTCAAGTTATTCACATGCCGTCTCCTCTTCTTATGATTTGTATCAAACATTGTAATGTGGTTTGGATGTTTGTCCTCTCCAAATCTGAGGTTGAAATTTGATGGCCCATTGTTAGAGGTGAGGCCTACTGGAAGGTGTTTAGGTGATGGCAGGGGGATCGCTCATGAATGGCTTGATGTTCTTCCCATGATAATAAGCTCACAAAAGATATGGTTGTTAAAAAAAGAGTCTGGAAACTACCCCCTCTCTCTTGCTTTCTCTCTCACCATGTGATACACCAGATCCCCTTCCCTTCCATGACAACTAAAATCTTCCTGAGGCTTTGCCAGAATCAGATGCTGGCACCATACTTCTTGTACAGTCTGCAGAACCATGAGCCAAAATAAGACTCTGCTTTACAAATTACCCAGCCCCAGATATTTCTTCATAGTGGTGCAAAATGGAATAAAACACATCAATGTAATTTCCTCAGATGAAAAGAGTAGAATCTGATTTGGAAGGCAGTTTGTATTGTGAGATTTTGGCCAAATAAATATATTCAAATCTGTGCTATCATCCATCAAATGGGTATAATAATATTTACCACAGGGTTATTTTGAGTAGAAAGCATCAAATAAAAGTTGGTAATCATCTCTTACCTTTAAATTTTCCTTTGTACTGATACTGTAGTACATCGTCTCAAAGAAAAGCAAGATATATAACGTTAGTGAGCCTATCAGTCATGGTCTAGTCAGGAAAACAGAAATGTTCTGAATATTTCACATAGAGGTTATTTTTATACATGGAATTGGCTGCAAAGATTTTCATTGAGTGGAGTAAAGGGGAAAAAACAGCGCTATCCAAAGTCCAGAAATATGCATTTACTATTGACGGTTGCCATCAATGCCACTGGAGCCTATGGTCACCTGCCATCCCCACTCCTCCTCCTGCTATTCCCAGATCTGCTGACTGCTGGAGATCACAGTCACCCATAGTCACCTGTAATTGTTGACTATTACTCCTACTGTTGGCCGGAAGCAGAAAGACATTCTCTTTCTTAGTCCTTGCAGTCCCACTGAAATGCTTCCTACTGGAAAAATTTAATAGGAACTAATTACAAAGAGAGTTTTTGGGAATGCAATTTCAGACTTCAGCCCCCTCAATACAGAATAGGGGACAAAAAGAGAGGAAGAAATGGCTGCGCACCAGCGGGCATTACCTAGAAGAACAAATAATCATGTTAGTTATCACTCTAGCACCAGGAAGCTGGCAATAATTCTGTTTCAAAGGGATAGACTGTGTTTATTTCCCCTCTCTTGCAAAAATTCCATGGAAATGTCACAAAAGATATAAGGGAACTGAAAATGAGAACAAAATCTGTGATGGTTAATTTTATGTGTCAAGTTGACTGGGCCATAGGGTGCCCAGATATTTGGCTAGATGTTATTCTGGGTGTGTCATTTAGGGTGTTTCTGGATGAGATTAACATGTGAATTAGTACAAGGGCACAGCAAATTGCCCTCCCTCTTGTGAGTGGACCTCATTCAATCTGTCAAAGGTCTAAATACAACAAAAGGCTGAGTAAGAGAGAACTGGCTCCTTCTGCCTTAACATCTTTGGGCTGTGACATGGGTCTTCCTTTGCCTTAGGCCTCAGACTTGGACTGGGACTGGAACTTACACCATCAGCTCTCCTGGGTTTCCAACTTGTTGACTGCAGATCTTAAAATGTCTCATACTGTATAATCACGAGTCAATTCCATATATTTTATATATATACATCTTCTTGGTTCTGTTTATCTGGAGAACCCAAACTAATACTAATACAGGATTCATCCATAGATTAGAAATGTTGGTAAGCTCCTAGAATAAAGAATGTAGATAGATTCATATTAATGAATTGACTCTACAGAGAAGATTGTACTTCAAAGTTGCACACAAGTCAATCACACTGGGAAGGACAGTTATCTTCACTTAGAAGGGCTCAGCAAGTTCAGCTGATCCCAAAGCCAGAAAGCAGGAAGGGGCTATAATCAGGACAATCACTAATGGCAAGTCCGTGAAATTCTTGAATAAATTATTCTTCCCTATCTTCTGTATGAAAGAAAGTAAAATATTGTTCAAGAAAGGCATGGGCTAAATATGAAGCTAAGTAAAATTTTGCATGACTTTACACCAATCATGGAGTATACAGCAGGAAACTCTATTTGACTTTAAATTTGGAACATTGTTATTCAAGTGAAAAGCTGAATAACACCAACCATATTTATTTTCCTATGAGTATAATCACACTATTTGGTTCTTGCAATACAAACATGTTGTAAATACTACTCACTGGTTTTCAACCAATTTAAAGTAGAAAACTTTATTACAGTTACAGAGAAGAATACATGAAATAAATTTTGGCCATGAAAAAGCAAAGTCACAACCAACCAAAGTTGACAGGGAGATATGGAAAAAGAGAAGTAGGAGAAAATGCTTGTGTATTTGTTTTCTCATCTTAGACAGTGTGAAGGCAATAGAGTCTGTCTAAAATTGGTGGGTTAAGAAACATATATTTATGTGTGTTTAACAATTGTCATGTTAACCATCAGAAGAACTGAAAGTAGAAAGCATGAGAGAATGAAAGGGGAGACTGAAATAGGGCTACATTCCTCTTCTTTCATATTTGGAAGTAAATAAAGTCTGAAGTTGACAAATTAATAAATTGAGTTATGAATACATAATTTAGTGTTGTGAATCTAACCACAGAAAACAAAATCTGAAATTGTTATCCTTTGTAAGGCTGCGGGTTGGTAGAAGGAGATTTTTAATTTTTTAAAAAAATTAAATCTTAATACTCTTACTATTTGTTTTTGTTTTATCCTGTGCACCTACTATAATTTTGGAATATAAATAAATAAATAAATATAGGGAAACTTCCCTGCCAGTGGAGGAGGTGTAAAGAGGAGTCAACATAGAAGCAGCCTCCTTTGTCCTAGCTCAGTATTAATTACAGTGATTTTAGGAATGCAGAGCAAACACAAATGTAAATTAACAATATAAGTAAATGGTACTGTCTGATGAAATGGAACCAACAGCATAGATGCTACCAGGTACACTGTCCTAACCACTCATTTGGGAGTGAAATCTTTCCTAGGGAATTTGGTGTTAACAACAGCGAAGAGACTTCACACTGGTTTGACCCTTTTCTCAGTATTCAATTATAATATTTATATTCAAAAGAATTATTGGAAAGACAAACATGAAACTTTCTCAATAGGAAATACTCCTCAGTTTCTTGCAGCAAAACATCACCATCAATCAATCAGGTAAATAATCAGACAAACATATTATGTCTGACAAGGCTATATGGTCAAGAAGTCACTTTGGTTTTACATTAAGGAATAAATCAAATTGGTAGTGCTTTTTCCCACTTACAGTTGAGCATGCAACGTAAGGGGAACATTCCCTTGTATAACTCTCCATAAAAAAGGTATTTGGAATGAAGTCTCAGCTTCTGCACTATGAGAATCAGCCCTTCGTGCTCTGGCATTTGGGTCCTGTCTCTGCCAATCCCCAGGGTCTTGCAATAGCTCAATTTTCTAAGGCATTCACTTATTTAACTAATGTGAAGAAAAGTGTGAGCAGAATTGTCATGAGGTCTTCATGTCAGGGTCAAAATATCAGGGCTCCAATGGCAAGTCAATATATTATTCTTGATCATCGTCCTGTTCCCATTGCCTTCACTTCCTTTAGTTAAACCTTAGCTTAGCAAGTTCTTTGACAGTTTATAGTTAATCTAGATTGTTCATAATCATTTACAAAATATTTTCTGTCCTTTCTTTGAGATAAAAGCCCATTACCTCCAGCCTCACCAAATTACTTTTCACTAGATGCATACTGACCTTAGTGTTTAGCTTTCCAACAAGATTCAGAGACCAGAACTGCCATTTCAAGTGGGTCTTGTCTGAAATTCTCACACAAGTATCCAAACCAATTAACAAAACTAACATGGTTAGAAAATCCTTGGAAATTCATATACTTTTTTGGAAAAAGAAACAGTACATTTTTAACCTTTAAAAATAAAACAGACCAAAACCATAGCCTGTGCTAACCTAAAACCAAAATAATCAAATTGCCTGTGTGTGGAGAATTTCTAACTTCTGAGATACTTCATGTTCCCACATGGTCAAGATTAATATCAGTCCATTCAGATTGGCTCCCCCTGTCCCCATGGGTGGAAGTGGGCTTGTAAACATGTTGGATGAAGAAATTTCCCAGTGTATCACAGTTACCGAGCCAGCTGTGCAAGGTCATTTTTACCAGGATACAGTAGAAATATTACAGATTTCCAGCAGGCTTAACCATTATATGTATCTTGTGAGCTCTGGGATCTGTGCCAGATTATAGAAAATATGATGAGTTTGCTGGGCAGTGGATAAGGATGCTCTCATGTATCTTAGAAAACTTTTTATTTTGAAACTTACCAGTTCCAATTCCTTGTCAGCACAAACAAAAACCCTTGGCCTTTGTTGTTTATCAGAACATACACGGCAGTAATAATCAACTGCAAAGCTTGGAGAATTGGGGGTTTGGTTGTCCATTTAATTTAATTAGATTTTCTGGTTGACTTGGTATTAAACAATCAAAGAAACAAAAGCACTTTCTTCATTCAACCCTTTGGAAAGTGGAAAAAAGAAAGTAAATTTACTGACTATTGTCTCAAATATTGTGGTGGATTTAAAAAATATTTATCTTCACCGTGTCTGTATTATTTTTATTTTTATAGAGGAAAAAACCGCCACAGAAAGATAAAGTAAGTTGCTCAAAACCACAGTGTTAGTGTTCAGAAAATATAAAATTAAAACTCAAGTCAATCTGCCTACAACAGACCATGTCCACCTAATATTTTTATAGGAAATTCTATTTCCTTATATGTGTAGATTTAAAATAAATAACATATTTTAATTTTTCTCAAATCAGTATTTTTGAGCATCTGTTGAGTGCTAACCTCTGGGCTCACTCTGAAAGATAGAAAGGTGAATTCTATGTTTTAATGGCTTCCAGAAACATTCAGCAGAATAGTTGTTAGTCATAAATGTTTAGAATATAGAGTGTTTATTTCTATGCAATAGTTGTTTTCATGGTACTATAGGGACAAAGTAGCAAGAGTATTACTACTAACTGCAAGTGGGAACATGGCATGAAAACAAGCTTCAGCAAGGCCATTTTAGTTGAGTTTATCAGTGAGAAAGTTATCCCCCCAAAGAAAAGAACACATGCTTTGGTAAAGAGGGGTGGAGGTGCATGGCGTATTTGAGACGCTGCTATTGGTTTAGCACCATTAGAACAAATAGACAATTTAGAACACCAATGGAAAGTGAGTCTAGGAATGAAAAGACAGAGCCATAGCACATATGCAATATTGGGTCATCTGACTTGTACTGTGGGGGTGATAAACACTGTGAAAGAAAGTGGAAAGACATCAGATTTGCACTTAAAAATGATCTCCTTAAAACAGAGGGGGATAATTTAAAGTTACATAGGAAAATACTAAAAATAAGTCGGTGAAGGATTCCAAGTCTGAGAGAGGGGAAGGCCTCTGGTTTAAATGAGGACTTTGCACATCTTGAGAGTCATCTGGAGAAGCCTCAGTTATAGATATTAGAGGCCTCAGTTATCTTTGGAAAATGCTATACAGGTGTGGAAGACAGATGATACTGGATTATCTCCTAGGCGAACTCTTTTGAAAGTTAAATTTAAAAAAAAAATCTGTCACTGGATTTAAGTATTTGATATTTGCTCTTCTAATAAATGAGGAATGTAGACAAATTAACAGTGTTTTTATTAATAAAGGTTTTGATATATATTTCAAAAGAATCAGTTGCTATTATTTTTCCTGATCCTGTCAGTCAAATCCCCTCCTCTTTATCTGCAAAGTGTCCAGAACAGGAGGAGGGTGAGTGGCTACAACAGACTTTCTGGCAAGAAGCCCATAGAAACTTACCACAACTTGATATTTATATTTCTTAGAAGACATCTGTATTTATTTAAGTCATGTGAATCTTATATTCTGATTCATAATACATTCATTAAAAAAATTACAAAGCATTATTATGAATACGTTAACTTTTCTCCCAAATCCTCACATACATTTGAAATATCAGGAAAATTCATCATGTTTTTTAGGTGAATTCTTGTTCATTTTCTGGCCCAACTCCAAGCACACTTTGCTTAACTCCAAGCATACTTTGCTTGGAGCCTCCAATACCGTTCTATTTTGTTAGCCAAAGGGAGTAATTTGGGACATTAACAAATGGGTCCTCGTTTGTTATGTTAACAATATAACATAGGTACTTTTTCTCAGATTTTCATATTCACAAAAATCACATGAGTTGTTAAAAGTAAAAATCAGATTCCCAGGATTCATCCACAGAGACTATTTTATTTTATTTTTATTATTATACTTTAAGTTTTAGGGTACATGTGCACAACGTGCAGGTTTGTTACATATGTATACATATGCCATGTTGGTGTGCTGCACCCATTAACTCTTCATTTAACATTAGGTATATCTCCTAATGCTATCCCCTCCCCCTCCCCTACCCCACAACAGACCCTGGTGTGTGATGTTCCCCTTCCTGTGTCCATGTGTTTTCATTGTTCAATTCCCACCTATGAGTGAGAACATGCGGTGTTTGGTTTTTTGTCCTTGTGATAGTTTGCTGAGAATGATGGTTTCCAGCTTCATCCATGTCCCTACAAAGGACAGGAACTCATCCTTTTTTATGGCTGCATAGTATTCCATGGTGTATATGTGCCACATTTTCTTAATCCAGTCTATCATTGTTGGACATTTGGGTTGGTTCCAAGTCTTTGCTATTGTGGATAGTGCCGCAATAAACATACGTGTGCATGTGTCTTTATAGCAGCATGATTTATAGTCCTTCGGGTATATACCCAGTAATGGGATGGCTGGGTCAAATGGTATTTCTAGTTCTAGATCCCTGAGGAATTGCCACACTGACTTCCACAATGGTTGAACTAGTTTACAGTCCCACCAACAGTGTAAAAGTGTTCCTATTTCTCTACGTCCTCTCCAGCACCTGTTGTTTCCTGACTTTTTAATGATCACCATTCTAACTGGTGTGAGATGGTATCTCATTGTGGTTTTGATTTGCATTTCTCTGATGGCCAGTGATGATGAGCATTTTTTCATGTGTCTGTTGGCTGCATAAATGTCTTTTGAGAAGTGTCTGTTCATATCCTTCACCCACTTTTTGATGGGGTTGTTTGTTTTTTTCTTGTAAATTTGTTTGAGTTCATTGTAGATTCTGGATATTAGCCCTTTGTCAGATGAGTAGATTGCAAAAATTTTCTCCCATTCTGTAGGTTGCCTGTTCACTCTAATGGTAGTTTCTTTTGCTGTGCAGAAGCTCTTTAGTTTAATTAGATCCCATTTGTCAATTTTGGCTTTTGTTGCCATTGCTTTTGGTATTTTAGACATGAAGTCTTTGCCCATGCCTATGTCCTGAATGGTATTGCCTAGGCTTTCTTCTAGGGTTTTTGTGGTTGTAGGTCTAACATTTAAGTCTTTAATCCATCTTGAATTAATTTTTGTATAAAGTGTAAGGAAGGGATCCAGTTTCAGCTTTCTACATATGGCTAGCCAGTTTTCCCAGCACCATTTATTAAATAGGGAGACTATTTTAATATAACATGTTCATGGAATTGACATTAAAAAAATAAACATGAGTGATTCTGCTGGTGTTCTGTGGTTCCCACACCGAGAAAGTCCCAGGAAAACTCTAGACTATGGGCAATTCCACACTATTCACAATTCCTATTTTCTTCTACTACATTGTCTAACACACTAACTCTAAAGCTGCCTAGACCCTACATCTCTGCAACATTTGATGTAACACAAATGGACCCACCTCCAGGTAAAGCAGCCAGAATTTTCATATTTTCTAGACTGTGAATATTAATGCATTCAGACTACAGCCACTGGCCAGTGGAACAGTGTACATTACAAAAACAAATTATACTAAATGCAAGAATATTTTAAAAACATATAAAAGTGTATAATAAAATGGTGCTAAAATGAAAAAAGGCAAAGACAATAAAAGGAGCAATCTAAAAATAATTTTTTTGAGATAACTCTGAAAATATGGTAAGCTGAGCCGTCCAGACTTCCAGAATTATTTCAATCATTTAAGGAGTGTTAAGAAAACTAATAGCTGTTAAACACCCACTGTCTATCAGGTAGACTCAGTAACAAGGTATGAATAATTTCTCATTTTTTTTTTCCAAAGAGGAGACAAAGGCTTCTTGAGGTAAGTTAAGTACAAAGTTGAATGAAAACCTATTGGAACTCTTCCAAACTTATTACTAGACTTTCTCCAGAAACATTGAAACCTGCTTGTAATGCTGAAGTTGGCAACATTTACTTCCTTTGGGGCTGTCTATTCACATCTCCTAGCCACAGTGTGGAATTCTAGAACAAAGTCACTTCACCATTGTATGTCAAAGGTGAGAAGGCAGATACCTGAAGGCAGCCATTTTTCACTGGATATGCTAGCAAGGCCTCAGAGGAGAAGGACATCATGCCGCTCTCCCAACTCACTTTCCATGGACTAAACTAGGATTGGCACCCCACCCTGCACCTCTCTGTGCCATCTCACCCCCAGGCCTAATGTTTTCACTCTGCTTCAAGAACCAGAGGTGCTAACACATCACTTCAGCCCAAGTGTGTCAGAGAAATATCACTAGTTCTAGAGAAGAACACCAAGTTATTGGGATCCCAACAAGCTTTCAAAATGAAAGTAGAGAATTGATTAAGCACGTATTTTCATGCAAGAGTCTCAATTCCAATTTAGTATTAGAATGGCCTGAAATGGAAGTAAAAGCGAAGACCTTTTAAATGTGTTCTCTTTGCATCAATAAATAGATTTGGGCATGAAGGTCTTCAAGAGAACATTTAGTTTAGTGCTGCCCTGGCTTTCTGAGTATTGTACTAAGTCCTGTGGAGAGAAAAATCTAAGACCTAGTAGGCAGAGGCTGCAACCTCTAAAGAACTTTCAATTTAAGTGTTTTTATTACCAGCTACCTTCTCAGCCCCAAAGAAATTTGTGCAAATTTACTAAAATGGCAAGCTGAGAAATGCCAAAATAATGCTTGATTGATCATACCCAAATGTGGTTGCTTCCTGCCTTGGAAGTAAAATCTTGCTATTACATGATTAAGAAGCCTTGCAGTTCAGGGACATACTTGAGTTTCAAGTCACACAAGTCATGCACCCTTTTCATAAAACTGACAAGTCAGAGCTGCATTGCTCAGTAGGTTTCTTTCTTGGGCCCTCTTGCTGCTAGCTGGAAAATGTTTGATGTTGAAGTCACATCCATTTCTCTTATCCCAGAGAAGAGACATGATAGCTATTCTTTAAATGGCTAGTCTCAGTCCTCTCATCTTATAACACCAACTGTCTGTCATTTGGGTATGAGAAGTCTTCAGGGAAATGAGGAACTGGATCTTTCACACTAGCATTTTACAGTTCTTCAGAATCAATTACAATTTGAACCCGAAAGTACAGTTTTCTCAGTTTCTGATATGCTTTGCTGGGTTTTGCTGAGCTAAGTAGGAGCATTTCAGTCCAGGAATGTCAGTGAAACCAACCAGTTGCTTACTCCAACATAAGGAAGAACTTTCAGTAAATACAACAAGGATTTCATGCAACACTAAGGCATGCAACCCTAAACCCAGAGATCTTCCGAGATTCAGTAGGAGTATACCACATATGGTGACAGGAGACCCAGGTTTTATGTCTAGCAAGGTGACCACCCTTATAAAATAAAGGTGAGAACTAAACTACTTCAAATGTATTTTTCTACTAAAATTTCCAAGATTCTGGTGAAGACATGTATGTTGGAAAGAAAACAGGCTCAAAACAAAGAAAAAATAATAATACTTTGCATGCAAACTTACTGCTTCATCGATTCCTCGCAATATTTTTATGAAGCAGGTTTCAATGTTCCCATTTTAGAGATGAGAAAATAGAGGTTTGGAGATGCTGAAGAGGCAGCCCAGGGTCATTTTTAATAGGTAACAGAGCAGAGATTCAAACCCATATCTGTCTTATTCTGAAGCCAACTGCACTTTATGGCCTCCTGCCTGGCTCACAAAAAAGTTGTGAGGCTCTGTGCACATTCCTATCTTGGGCCTTAAACCTCTTTGATGCTCTAACCTGAAGGAACCCAAAAAGCCTTACCTCAAGCATATCAAGTGTGAAGAGGGTCTGTGAGGAAGCAAAGGAGAAAGTGTTTAGTTCTTACTTTCCCTCACTCCCCTCCTCTATTTTCAGAACAGCTCAACTGTTAGATATTTAATATTGCCCTTCTTACTGAGTTTTTTTTTTTAAATAGGATCAATGCTTTAAATAGGGAGGAAAGGAGGGAGACAGGGGAGAATAAAGAAAGGAACAATTAAGGAAAGTGGAAGGAATAAAATAAATTGAAAACCACTATATGACTTTGTTATGTCCTTTCCTAGGATTTTGAGAGCTTTAGCACTCTTTAAGGGGGCAAATCTAGAAGAGATAGCACATTTGTAAACCATTTTAAAAATTACTTCATCCACCAGGTTGCATCCATCAACTTTTATGATGCGATTTCCAAATATCAGTATCTTACAGTAACTAATGTTGTTTATTTCTTACTGATATTACTTGTTCGGCACAGATTTGGCAATGGTTACACACAACACTGTCTTCATCCTGGGAGCCAAATTGAAGAAGGAGCTCCTATCTGGGACGTACAGTATTATGCCAGGAAAATAAATAAAATCAATGACAGATCCATGAGATGCTGTTTAAGTCTTCCGGGCAGCAGTGACTTGTGTTAATCCCACTTCATTTCATTGACCATAACAAGTCACATGGCCAGGCCTAATAGGCAAGGATGAGGAGAAATTATCTTCATACATAAAGTGGCAGCAAATAATTAGGAAGTGTCATGTTCTTTACACGACTTACCCATTCTACTCTTTGGTCACAAATTTTTGTTTCTGTTTCTTCCTTAAATGAAATGTGCTCTCCTTCTTTCCAAGGAAGAAATTCCAAAATCCTATCCAACCCAGTTATAGCATCAGGTCAATGTCCAAAATGTTATGATGTTATCTATATCAGGGAGAGATGGGGGTTCTTTTGATCCAGAGACCTATGAGTTTCAAACAAAAATTGAATAATAGTTACCTGTCTTCCCCATCACACGTGCACAACAGTTAAATAAGGGACAAAATAACCAAAATAAATTGTTCCATTAAAAAAGAGGAAAATGTGAGGCTCACAGCAGTCATTGTCTACAGCAATTCTGAAATTTTTCAGTAATTTTGGTTAAGCTTTGCAAGGGCCTCCTTCCTGGGTATGCTCCCTGGGAGTCACTTGCTAGACCATTTACCCCACGGGTTCTTAACTCCACACTGAGAGGGCCTTCCTTTCCCATGATCATTCTTGGCTGCATACGAAGACAGCATTGGAAATGTGCCTTTTTGAAAGCTGTGTAGCGTCCTCGGCCTGCTTCCTGCTATTGAAGATTGGGAGAGAAAAGTTGTTTAAATCTCAAACAATTATAGTGGTGTTTGTTTGTTTGTTTGTTTTTGAGACAGGGTCTCACTCTGTCGCCCAGGCTGGAGTGCAGTGGCATGACCTCGGCTCACTGCAACCTCTGTTTTCCATGTTCAGGCGATTCTCCTGCATCAGCCCCTCAAGAAGCTGGGATTACAGGCACACGCCACCATGCCTGGCTAATTTTTGTATTTTTGGTAGAGACAGGGTTTCACCATGTCGGTCAGGGTGGGCTCAAACTCCTGACCTCAAGTGATCCACTCGCTTTGGCCTCCCAAAGTGCTGGGATTATAGACATAAACCATCGTGCCTGGCCCAATTACAATCTCTTCTAATGTGGGCCAGTGGCTCTTTTGATAGTACAAATTTCTCTAAAACTTAAGTTGGCTGTTTATTTAATTCCAGCCAGTATCATGTACAGACAGCCACATCTATATCTCTTTTTGAGACATGTCTCTCTCATAAGACTTAGTGCAAATAACTGAGGACAATGATACAATGTGCTATGCAGAATAAGACAGAAGGCTCCAGAAGTCATATTGGGATTCAGATACTATTGTCTTTTTGTGGGTCTACATGAAGTTTAGAATAATTCTAATACATGTATGTATTAATACATACAGATATATCTAATACAGGTAGATATACCTGTATATCTACATGGTCAAAGTTAGATTCTGCCAGTGTTCTGGAGTGGTTCTTCTTAGGTTGTGTGCCAATCGTGTCCCTTTCTCTGATAACACATTAAGCCACTTTTTTTCTGTTCTCTTTTCAGAGACTTTGATTCAAACGTTCTTAATGAGAGGGCAGCTGGCTGGACAAGAGTATCTCCCTTGTTCAAAGTTTATTGAGCGAGCAGTAGACACCTGAACTGAGGAGTTAATCAAATTTTCTTCTGACAATTTGGTGTGAACTCAGACTCTAGTTTATCTCTGCTGGAGGTTTGAACAAGGAGGGCATCCCTCAGGTTATGTTATCCTGGGCTTAGAGATGCCAACAGTTCTGGAAAGAGAGAGAAAAAAGTAATGAAACACATACACTGTTGGAAGCAGGGAAATCTGTCTGCCCTTAAGGTCTGTGATATATTTCTATCCAGAAAATTATTCCTTTTCTTGAGCTCTTTTATGTGTGTTTCTATAACTTGCAATGAAATGATTATTTAGATAATCTTTTAAACTTAAATTCAGTTTCCTTCAACAAATTCTTTGCAAATTTCTATGTACAAGATACTAAGAAAGAGTCCTAAAAGCATAAAAAGATGAATAAGACACAACAGGACTCGTGGTATTTAAAAATTTATTAGATAAGTGCAAAAATTTCCATACGAAGATGTACATGATATACATAAAATACTGTGCAATTCAAAGGATAGTGTGATCATATCTTAAAGGATCAGGAATTTTTTATGAAAAAAGATGTCATGGCAATTGCAATAAAGTTCTAGGACAGGCAGAATTTGAGAGGAAGAGAGGACAGAAACCTTCAACTGAAGTATTAAATAAATGGCTGGACTAAGGAAACTTGGAATCTGTTATGGAACAGCATGGAGTGTTATTTGGACTATAGAAAACATTGGAAAGAGGAGGCAAATACTTAGCAAGGTAGTTTGGGATATTATTACAAAGGATAGTGGTTGCAAATATGTATCTACTTAACTAGGTAGAAAAACTATAGACAGAAAAATTAATAGTTATTGAAGGCAGTCATAATGTCTTGAGCCAGGCAGTCTCGGTGTTAATGGGGAGTGTGTAACTGGAAAGAAAGTACAGCCAAAAGAAGATGGAGAGCCATGCAATGGATTGGATATCAACACATAGGAGAAGGGGGATTCAAAGAGGAAAAAGGCTTTCAATTCCATCAAAGGAAACAAGGACAAGACTGAGGTGTTGGAGTGAAAGGGAGTTTAGTTTGGATTTTGCTGAATTAAACATGCCAGTGAGACACCCAGTAGAGATAGATATTTGGTAGGTCATTAGATATAAGAGGATCCCAGCCCTTCAATGTAGGAGAGTGCTCAGACATCATTTTGTATGCCTCCCTCATTTTATAAACAAGAAAACTGAAGTCTTAGTGCTTTTCCCCATATGGCAAAGCTGATAAAGATAATCCAGAAAATCTGCTGATAGATATTTAAGCAAAGATAATTCAGGGTTGACTGATACAAATATCCAGACTCAGCAAGATTTTGTCCATCAGTGTGGGAAGTGTGTAAATGCTGGCCACTGGCAACATGGCGTGCCTGCTGCATGCTAAGTACCACACTAAACACTGTGCAATGCTTCAAAAGACATGAACAATGCAGACACCATGTGCCTGGGGAAGTGTGGTGCTCTAATTGGGAGGGCAGTCCAGTGCCATGTGAGCAGACCTCACTGAGGGATTCCTTCCTAGTGTGCAAACAGAGACCTGGAGCTCTTTGGATTAATCAAGGAAGAATCATTCTAAGTATTCTACAATCCAAAATCAGACAAAAGGAGAAATTGTATTACATCTTATTATCAAAATCAAGATTTATAATTTTGTAAATTAAATTCTACCGATGATTTTATTGTCAGAAGTGGAGAGTGACTTGCTTTCTTTATTCAGCATGGTTAGATTCTATTTTCTGAACTTACATTCAGGAAAGTTGGTGGTATTAAGTATGTTCTGGGAATAACTACAAATTTTCAAATTAATAATTTGAAATTGGTGCAATAAGTATCATATATATCTGTCTATCTTTAGGTTTTAGGGGCTGCTACACTATTTCAATAAGAAATTGGTTTCCTAAAGCAGAAGTAGAAAAAAGCATTTACTAGAATTAAATTTTATTAATATCTACATATATGTTATTTTGAAATAACAAAGTTTAAATATATTCCTTTGAGAGATTTGGCTGTGATATATGATTGGTTTAAATATATATTTATTTTTGAAAATCTTAAATTGCAAATGAAAAATATTTTGAGTGGTGCAGTAGTAGAAGCATCCGCGGAAAATTTGGGGCAGTTTCTAGAATAACATTCAGTCTTTTCATCTAGTCTCCTGTGACCCTCATCGCATCTGAAAGGAATCAAGAAGACAAGCTAGATAAAACCAAAAATTAAAATTCTCGTCAGTGACCATGTAGGCACTGTTCCTGCCTTTTGATGTTTATTTCAACCTATTTACATGCAAATGAAGAAGGGCTCTGTCCACTTTGGAACTTCTGCTTTGACAGCTGGGATTTTGCCTTCTTCATCAGGCAGTGTATCTTTATTCCCAGGGTTTGCACAACTAAGTGGAGCTTGCCTCTTCTCAAGTCAGCCTCTCAAAGAGCCCCAGCCAAGGGCATGAGGAAAAACACCTCACACATCATTGTACTTAGGGGCCTGTGGGAAGCCACATTTTTCTCAGGGGACAAAGCTTTTCAGGGCACCCATATTTTAAGAGACACACAGATGGTGCCACTTAAGACCTGAATAGGGCATTCTTCATCGTTCTACAATGTATTTCTTTCAGAAGCAGCATTTCCAATCCTGTAGATTATCAGAATGTCAAACATGTTTGGGCCAGAAGCATCTACACAAGCTCTCACACAGAAAGAAGAGCACACAAGCACAGCTCCTTGATCAAACATATTCTAAAGCACTTTTTTTTTAACTGATACCAATGACTTATTTTACTGCATTAAAAAAATTACCTATTCTTACAAAGATCAGGGTCAAAATATCGAGGTAGCCCTGCTAAATAGAAAATCTCCATTATGAAACATCTTTATCATCTTTGCAGAAAGATTTGCAGCTACAGAATAACACACAACATGCTCCAAGGTCACCTGGAGGGAAAGCATAGAGAATGAATTTTTTTTTTTTTACCAGTACAAAGAAATCACAATGACGTATGTCCAAAAAGCAGTCCGTTCTGTTTGCTGAGAGGTAACAAAGAATGTGGCAGTTGGATTTTGGCTGGAGAACACTGACATGGCTCTCCTATCTCTGTTAGTTGGTAACTTCATTATTGATGAGTGGCTCGCAAATTCCACAGTATTAATAATATGAAAACATGTTTTGAAAATGATTTAGTAATACAAAATAAAAACCGGTTTTGAAGCCAATGAACTGGAAGTAAAATTCTTCTTAGACATGCACCTGTTGTGCAAATTTGGGTAGTTTATTATACCTGGGAACCTCCGATTCCTTGTTAAAATATAAACTAGACCTGTCAAACAAACAGCACATAGCAAATTCAGAAACAAAGGTCAGAAATCGCTTTGCTGAAGGGAAGGAAGCTCACAGAATCAGCTGAGAGTCTGGAGACCCATATTTGGAAACAGAAAGAAAGCAAGAAAGATGGGGTCTGAGAACACACATCAAACCAAGATATTGCATGGTTGGAGGATTGTCAGGGTCACCACTGCTCCCGCACACTGGACATGAAATGCTGCCACCAAAATAACGTTCCACCCATCCTGCTTCTTTGGGATGGTTGGTCCTGAAGCCAAATTCCTGGCAGAAGCATCAGATGGGTCAAATTTAGACCACATGCTTCAGGCATGTAAGTTCTAGAAGAAGAACTCTTACCAGCTCTTCACAGCTATCTCAAAGGGAGGCCTAGGCCAGCCTTCCAACAAGAGCCACACAAGGATGATTTCTGAAAGATAAGTTCAGATGGCCAAGCCCTTAGCCCCACTCCAAACAAACCACTACACCCTTTTCCTAAGACTGCTTTAAGAATAAAAATTAGAAAATGCATCCAAATTTCATAAATTGCTGATCCCAACTTGCTTTGATATGAAAGAAAGCAAGTATTTATTCAATGCTGTCTAGCTGTTAAGAATAATTATACTTAGGAAACCAGTTGAAGGAAATATATATACATATATCCTATACAAATACATAATATATATTATACATATATCATATACAAATATATAATATATATTATACATATATCATATACAAATATATAATATATATTATACATATATCATATACAAATATATAATATATATTATACATATATCATATACAAATATATAATATATATTATACATATATCATATACAAATATATAATATATATTATACATATATCATATACAAATATATAATATATATTATACATATATCATATACAAATATATAATATATATTATACATATATCATATACAAATATATAATATATATTATACATATATATAATTCAGTAAGGCCAAAGGCCAGCAAAGGCCAAAGACCACCTCACTGAATTTTGAAAAAACAACATGTAATGAGGGTCAGTATGAGAGAAGGTAATCAGAAAGTACCCACTTCAGAATCTTATCGTGGGACATTCATTGATGATAACCTCAGTAGAGGTGACAGAGCAATGTGCTGCCTGAAGTTCAGATATCAGGAACAGGAGTCTTTGGGAATCAGGTAATTTCCAATATGTTGGAAAGAGTATTGCTTTTCTTAAACTTATACCTGCCCCATCTTATAAAAAAAATTTCAAAGGCTATGTGCCACTCTTATTTTTAACTTTTTATTTTGGAATATCAACCTTAAGAAGTGTTGAAAGGGTGTTCCCAAGAATGTTGTATGCCTTCACCCGAATTCACCAGTTATTACTATTTTAGTATTTGTCTATTCCTCTATCTATCAACTATCCATCTATCATCTGTCTATCTATATCAATCTATCTATCTTCCTGAAGTATTTTAGAGTAAGTTCTATGTATTATGAGAATTTTTAAGAGTATTTCAACAAATATTTCCTAAATCAAGTACATATTATAATGTAATCACAGTATAATTATCAAATACACGAAATTTGACATTGATAAAAATGCCATTATTTAATATCCCATCCATATTCAAATTTTGCAGATTATCTCAATAGTGCCCTTTATAGCTATTTTTCTTTTCTTGAATTTCAGATCCAATCAAAGACAACACATCATACTCGATTATTCAGTCTCTTTTGTCTCCTTTTATCTGGAAAAGTTCCTGTCTTTCTTTCTCTCTTATGATACTTTTTTCAAAGGGGGGCATGGGGTCTCGCTCTGTCACCCAGGCTGGAGTGCAGTGGTGTGATCATGGCTCAATGTAGCCTTGACCTCCTGGGCCCAGGCAGTCCTCTCACCTCAGCCTCCCAAGTAGCTGAGACAACAAGAATGGGCCATCATGCCCGGCTAATTTTTTTTTTTTTTTTTTTTTTTTTTTTTTTTTTTTTTGGTAGAGAAGTGGCTTCTCTATGTTGCCTAGGTTGGTCTCTAACTCCTGGGCCCAAGTGATTTTCCCATCTCAGGCTCCCAAACTGCTGGGATTATAGGCATAAGCCACTGCACCCAGCCAATACTAATTTTTTGAGAACATTTTCTGTCAATTGGATTCATCTGATCCTTCTCATGATTAGACTCAGTTTGTAGATTTTTGGCAGGAATATAAGTGGTGTTTAGTCCCCAATACATCACATTGCAAGGCAAGTGGGCTGAGTTTTTTCCATGATTGATCATGGGTTAGGTAAATTGGAATCTGCCAGTTTTTTCTGCAATAAAGTTACTTTTTTCTCTCATGAATAGATATTCTGCAGGGAGATACTTTGAGAGTATGCAAACCCTCTGTTCCCCATCAAATTTTCAACTACTAGTTTTGGCACCATTGATGAGTGTGTGAAACATACACTCATAATATAATGTGATGAAACATTGGTTTTTCTTTTTTGTTCTCTGGTTTTTATTTTAAGTTCATGGTACATGTGCAGGTTTGTTATATAGTAAACAACTGTCATGGATGTTTGTTGTACAGATTATTTTATCACTTAGGTATTCAGGCTAGTACCCATTAGTTATTTTTTCTGATCCTTTTCCTCCACCCTCAGGTAGGCCCCAGTGTCTGTTGTTCCTCTCTATGTATCTATGGATTCTTATCATTTAACTCCCACTTATAAGTGAGAACATGCAGTATTTGGTTTTCTGTTCCTGTGTTAGTGTCCTAAGGATAATGGCCTCCAGCTCCATCCATGTTCCTGTAAAGGACAGGATCTCATTCTTTTTTATAGCTGTATGGTATTCCATGGTTTATATTTACCACATTTTTGTCTTATCCAGTCTACCACTGAAGGGCATTTAGACTGATTCCATGTCTTCACTAATGTGAATAGTGCTTCAGTGAACATTTGCTTGCATGTGTCTTTATGGTAGAATAATTTATATTCCTCTGGGTATATACCCAGTAATGGGATTGCTGGGTCAAATGGTAGTTTTGTTTTTAGTTCTTTGGGGAATCACCACACTGCTTTCCACAATGGTTGAACTAATTTACTCTCCCACCAACAGTGTCTAAGCATTCCCTTTTCTCTGTAACCTCACCAGCATCTGTTATCTTTTGACTTTTTAATAACAGCCATTCTGACTGGTGTGAGACGGTATCTCACTGTAGTTTTAATTTACATTTTTCTAATAATCAGTGATGTTGAGATTTTTTTCACGTGCTTGTTGACTGCATGTATGTCTTCTGTTGAAAAGTGTCTGTTCATGTCCTTTGCCCACTTTTTATGAGGTGATTTTTTTCTTGTAAATTTGTTTAAGTTCTTTATAGACGCTGGATATTAGACCTTTGTCAGATGCATAGTTTGCAAACTTTTTTTTTGTTCCGAAGGTTGTCTGTTTATTCTGTTGATAGTTTCTTTTGTCGTGTAGAAGCTCTTTAGTTTAACTAGATCCCATGTGTCAATTTTTGCTTTTGTTGCAATTGCTTTTGGTGTCTTCAACATGAAATCTTTGCCAGTTCCTATGTCCAGGATGGTATTGCATAGGTTGTCTTCTAGGGTTTTTATAGTTCTGGGTTTTACATTTAAGTCTTTAATCCATCTTGTGTTGATTTTTGTATATGGTGTAAGGAAGGGGCATCCAGTTTCAGTCTTCTGCATATGGCTAGCCAGTTTTACTAACCAGGATCATTTGTTGAATAGGGAGTCCTTTCTCCATTGCTTGTATTTGTCAGCTTTGTTGAAGATCAGATAGTTGGAGGTATGCAGTCTTATTTCTGGGCTCTCTATCCTGTTCCAGTAGTCTATGTGTCTGTTTTTGTATCAGCACCATACTGTTCTGGTTACTGTAGGCCTGTAGCATAGTTTGAAGTCAGGTATTTCAAGGCCTCCAGGTTTGTTCTTTTTGCTTAAGATTGCCTTGGCTATTTAGGCTGTTTTTGGTTCCATATGAATTTTAAAATAGTTTTCCTAGTTCTGTGAAGAATGTCATTGGTAGTTTTGATAGGAATAGCATTAAATCTACAAACTGCTTTGGGCAGTATGGCCATTTTAATGATATTGATTCCTCTCCGTGAGCGTGAAATGTTTTTCTATTTCTTTAGAAACACTGATTTTTTTTCTACCTCCATTATTCTTTTTATATTTATTATGTGGTGTCCTCCCATGGGGAAGAACTTTCTCTCTCTCCTTTCATGTACTTATGTATAGGTATATGTGTTAACTCTGCGGGTCCATACATTCTTATGTTATTCAATGGGTTATAATCCCTTACTGTCATTATGAGGAAAGATTTTTACATACTATATTTTGGTAAATATAGTTGTTTCTTGAAATATAATAACAAAATTAGTTGAGACATTGCCATGTTTTAAATTAATTGTATAAGAAAGACAGATTAGGATGTGCTCAAGGGATAATAATGATGAACAAGACTAAGCAGGATGATAGAAGTATCTATCTGCCTGGATGCCTTTCCCAGGAGAAGGAGGCTCTGCACATTGGGCTGCCATATGCTGGCTACAAATACAGTTCTAAGCAGCATTTTAACGTGCTTAAGAAGGCAAAGATAAAAAATCCAGCATTTTAATGTCAGTTACACCATACTTAATAGCTCCAGATGTGATAAAGAGGAATCCAAGCACAGAAATGCAGAAATAGTAGTTCATGTACCCTGCTAGATGAGGAGATGACACACTCCTTAAGCCGAACGTCTTCAGCTGCTAGTTGGACCACCTCTGACACCTCATGGTGCCATTCACACAGCAGATACATAGAACACTCTTGGTCACCAGAGAAATGATGGCAAATGGAAAGGTAACAATCCAAAGAAAAGAAAAATGCAAGTAAAGCAAAAGATGAGAGGCATCTCACAACAGTCAAGGATATGAAAGAAAGAGGAGCAACTGAAGAAGATAAATTACTGTAAAAAATTAGCAAATGGAGAAAAGAATGAAGCACAAACTAAACAATCCTGGAATTGATGCTAATAGAAGTCAAGAAGTGAATTCAAAATAATCTACTGGGACAATCAGAGAGAGACAACCAGCCATTTCCTCCTGTTTGGAGTCTTAAGAAAAGGTAGGCATGGCAAGAGTCAGATCAGTGGCTGAGATGCCAGCATGATGGAAGAGGAGCAAAGGAATTGCCAGTGGCCTGCCAGTGAGTGCTGAGTGATTCCAGAACATACAGTGTCCAGACAGACTGGAAGATTTAAAAAAAAAAACAAAACTGTATTCAAATATAATATACATACAGGAAAGTGCTCAGTGAATTTGCACAGTTGAAACCAGCACCCAAATCAAGAAACAGAATATTACCAGCAACCCAGAAACCTTCTTGTGCCTCTCTTCTATCACTATGCCCTTACTCACCAAGAGGAACTTTCTAGGGCCTGGGAAATGTTGCCTTTATCTCAAATTATTTTATGTAAGTAATCCTACAGTACACTGTCTTTTGTGTCTGCCTTCTTCTGTCCAACATTATCTTTGTGAACTTCATCCATGCTGCTGATGGATATGTAGTTTCTTTATTCTCAGTGATGTGTAGGTTTCTCTTATATGAAACTGCCACAATTTATTTATCCATTCTACTGTTGATTGGCATTTGGGTAATTTTCAGTTTAAAGTATTACGAATAAAGCTGCCACAAACATGTTTTTTGGTGAATATATGTGTGCATTTCTGCTTAGCGTATACCTAAAAGTGTAATTATTAAGCCATAGGTTTGCTTTACTAGATACTGACAGACAGTTTTTCCAAACAATTGTGCAAAGTTAAACTCCTATCAGACCTATGCATTTTTAGAACACAAGGGTTAGCAACAATAGCTATCAATGAATTAAGTTGCTTTCCTGGAAGTGAAAAAATGGCATTGGAGGCAGCATTAATGTGCATGGGTTATAACAAAAACACTTACAAGCAAACACAAGAATATGCTGTAAGAAGGCAAAGATAAAAAATTCTTCCTGTGTCCACGTTGTGCACATGTACCCTAAAACTTAAAGTATAATAAAAAAAATTCTTAATTCACAAGAATTTCCTTGAATTCACTAATTTTTTAAATTCTCATGTTTGTACCTCCATAAAGCCTAGTGTAGAAAATTGATTCAAAAAATGTTTCTTTGTTGTTTGTAAAATGCTATTTTTAAAACGCTATGATTTATATCTTTATCGGATAATTTAAATTTCTAGTAAATACACAAACAGAAAGAGAGAGATGGAGAGGGAGAAAAACTGTGGCTTAAAACAGTTAAGCAACTGTTTATGATTACGAGAAGTAAAAACTGGGATGTGCACTCTATCATCAAAACTCTGCATTTCAGTAATGTCATACTTGGCACATTATTTGCTGGAGGAATTAATTACTAGATTAGGATTAAATGAATTTGATCCATTTGTGTCGTGTGATATTAAAGTAGCAATTAATTCTGAGGAATCAACAAATTTTACAAAAGGAACATCTAGATTTTGTTTTTTCTTTCTAGCCTCCTAGTGGAAATACAGAGACTGTCTTTCCAGTGAACTATGTTCACTGACCACCTACTCTGTGCCCAAATCCGTACTAAGTGTTCTGATTAACAGAATGAGATAAGGTAATTAGCAAAACCTGAAGAGTAAAACATAAACCAACTGTTTTACAACAGTGAACATAAACCATAATCACAAGAAAGGCTACATAAAAGTGCAAGAGTGAAAAATAAACAAGTAATCAAGCAAAATGGGAATGTAGGCAACTCTGCATCGAGAAAGTAAGTGCGAGGAAGTTCTAGGAAGGTGGGACCCCGGTGGGTGGCATATTTAGGAGAGAACTCACAGAGGAAGTAGATCTGGAATTAGGGCTTGAAGGGACCATGGAATGTGGGTACATAGAAGCTGGGAAGAACATTTTAGTTCAACTGATAATGTGACCGAAAGCCAAAAGGGAGGTAGAGATGCATGTGGCTACTCAAAGTATGGTGGGTAGTAGTCCTTTGATGGACAGGATGGTTGAGGCCAGTCATAGGCTACAATTGCATAATCAAAGCTGGGGAATGATGACAGGCTTGGAATGTGTGGCATTTTCATTACTGTTAGGGTTTATGGCTTAGGCAAGCCCGGGTTTCTATGAGCATGAGAAATGTGGTAGTGCTGTGGGCACACCCATGGTTTCCACCTTTGAAAACTGATCTTCAAAATGTGAAAGTTAATCCCAGCTGCTGGAAGACTGCCATCGGGGTTGAAACACTTAGACATATCACATGACAGATACCCAGTCAGCCACCTCCAGATCACACACAGCTCCAGAAATTGATGTAATACTGAGGGCACGGTGTGCACTCTAATAAGCATGAGCTGTAGATGGAAATACGGAAAGAGCAATTCAGCCGGGAACGTTCTTCATTTGGGAGGCGAGGCCAAGGATGGCCATAATAACCTCTCAGTGCCCCACGGGGTGTCATGAATATTTGGAGGAAGAGCCACTCCAGGTAGGTGGGTGGCTGAGTGAGTGGGCAAAAACAACGGAGTATATAAAAGTCTAGTGGGTGTAGAGATTCACCACCTGGGCAAAGCATGATTATTCACTTTGAAAAGAAATCTCTTGAGCATTTAACAGAAGAACCATTTCAAAATGTCACTTTACCAAAAGACTCTACCTCTTGCAATTAAAATAAAAACACACAATATCCTTAATTTGCATATACTATTTAAAGTGATGTTGTTCTGAATTGCTGGAATTTAATGTTCTTGTATTGGTTGGGTGAAGCAATGTTTCTCTATATTTTAATTAATGTCCTGTGCTATAAACACTATAGACAGGCCATGTTGCCTTTAGTACAAAGCTTTTGGTGTTTGTTGATGGGGAGGGTGTCTTAGCATCCAAATGAGAAGAGGAACATTAACCGCAGGTTATTTGCTCTACAGAACGAACACATGAAAGCAGACAAAACACACCTTCCGTAGACTGTTTTCATTAAGATACTTAGTTTTAAATTCAGTGGGTTTTTCCCTTTATTTCTTTTTTTCTTTTTTAGTGGTTGCTTAACAACAGTACATGAATCGTGACTTGCAGAAAGTTAAAATTTCTCTTTTGTTTGGGTAAAGTATTTTAAAACTCCTTTGTGGAGTTTAAATCTTAATATTGCCAAGTATAACCAAAACTTTCCCAGAATTCTGTAGTCTGTGGCTAAAAATAGGAACCCATAGATATGACTGTTCCAGTGCTGCTGGCACCTCATCCCCAAGTGTATAATGTAGGCTGGCCTTAGAGCCCTCTCCTTCCCAAATCCCCTGGTGCTCTGCCCCAAGGACAGATCTCCCACAAGGCCACAGGGACTCTAGATGCTGGCTTCCTGATGGGTTCAGGACACACTATTCCAAAATATGGCAACTCAGCTTTTGAGGAAATAGCAGAAGCAGGAAGGCCACTCTCGCCTTCCTTTCATCCTTTTTCTTCCCTAAAGCAGGTCATAAGACCCTCAATAGAGGGTGCCCTCCCTATACCCAGAGGAAACGTGCATCCTTATCCTGAAGACAGAGGAGAATCTGAACAAACAGGCCTTGCTATGATGCCCTTAGTTTTTTCCCATACCCTTCTGTCTTATCATATTTCTCCATGACTGTCCACTCTTCATCAAACCTTATGTTTCCCTGTTTCTTTGTGTTTTCATCTCTGAAGTCTCCAATGTCACAGAAAGCTTCTATTAAGTAAATCTATATGCTTCTCACTTGTTAATCTGTCTTTTCTTATGGGAGTTTCAGCTATGACCTTAAGATTGAAAGAAAAGACATTTTTTTCCTCCCCTGCATGCTTCAAGCTTAGTTGAGTGGACACTTCACAGCTGCCAACAACTCTATGAAAAACAGCTTTTCTGCCTGCCATCTCCTTTGGCTACCAAGGCTTGTAAAACCCTCAAGTCTCCAAATGCACTGAGTTCTCTTGAACTTTCACAATGCTGAAGATAAGATGAAAGAAAGCCATTTTCCCTAATTCTGGACCTCAAGTTAGCACAGTTAGCCCAAATTTTATAAAGGCTTTTGTGAAAAAATCCTCTTGGCCTCTACCTGCAGAAAGCTCATGCATTAGTCTAGTTGATCTAAGCAGAAGGAGACAAATATAAACCTCTGTACTTCCTGTTTCTCCTCCAGGGAACTGCCCTCAAAACTTACTCTTCCCAAGTTCTCAATAGCACTATCTCTTCACAATGCACACCAACTTATGCAGAAGATGTACAGATCATTAGTTTTGCAGGCACAGCCAGATTTTCTTTCCCAGTTGAGTATTAGCCAAAATGCTCCTGCTACTTGAGAATGCATGTATCCTAGGCACTAAGCCTTAACTATTTTCAAAGTGTGCATATGATTTATAACAAAGTAGAAACAAATGTGCTTGTATTCTGTAACATTTCCTACCTTGGGATGTTGCACATGTCATTTATTCTGAGAAAAGAAACCTAGTCAAGAACCTGACAAGGAACCTTCACAGGTCTAGAATGTCAACTCTGAGAATCTGTCCTCTGAACAGCCTTCAGCATGACCCAGGAAACCTGGATCTCATGGATAGTCGTGGATGATCATCTGGTATCTCAGACAAGATCCCTCGTTGATCTTTTCAAGGTAGTTAGATTAGGTATTTTTAGATTCCTTCCAGTGCTAAAATCCTATTATTCTATTAATCTAGAAGCTTTTTATAAAGCTTTTCAACAAAAATAAAAATAAAGCTTTTCAAAAATATGTATTTTTTTTTTTTTTGTTGATACTGCAGGGGAACCAAAATACTTGCATTGGAAAGGGTTAACAAAAAGAGTCACACAAAGATAAAGCATCAATAAATAGAAAACTTGCCAGCATAAAGCTAGAGAAATGGCCTTGGTATCTAAGGGACAATCACTTCTTTAAACATAAGCTCCAAGGTCCTGCCAGAAATTCAGTATCCGCATTTTTGTGGTCTCCTTTCTCATAGATTATTATCTTTGGATGCTCTTCTGGTGGGTGGTCCCTTGTGCATAATGGAGACTGTTGATTCTGCAATAGGGCTTGACTTAAAATAATTATGAGTTTGGAATTTTCTAGTACTTAAGGCAGATTTCCTTTTCTAAGAACCTCCCTGTTTTACTTAACCTCCAAAAGGAAGTTTGGAGTACTGCTGGTAAATCAACTTGCTTTTTACTGGGAAATTCCTAGTTTGCCATTTAAAGTTGGCCATTTGCTTTAAAGCAAATTATCAAAGCAGTGGGGCACTTACCTGTATCTTGTTCTCTTAGTTTCAAACGACAGACAAGTTATGGATCTTCTCTGAGGATGCTGGTTCATCTTGGTTGTGATTAACATGAGATGGATTTTATATACTGACCTAAGTGAACTATGCTCCAGTCTTTTAAAAGTTAAGGTTGGCCAAGTTTGGCTGCCGAACAAAGTCACAGTGACCTTCTTTTTAATCTTACATGTACCCTTAAGGTATTAGATAACTGATTAGATATTAGGTATAATATTAGATAACTTAAGGTATTAGATAACTGATTAGATATTAGATATGAATTAGATATTAGATATGAATTAGATAACTGATTAGGTATTAGATATAAATGAGAGGTATTAGATACGAATGAGAGATACTAGATATGATACTAGATATGAATTAGATATTAGATATGAATTAGATAACTGATTAGGTATTAGATATGAATGAGAGGTGGTTGCCCCACTCTAAAACAGAGGTTTGCAAACTACAACCTATGGCTCAAATTGAGTCTGTGGCTTGTTTTTGATAATAAAGTTTTGTTTGAACACAGCCACTCATTTGTTTACATATTATCTGTGGCTAATTTCATACATTGGCACAGTTGAGTAGCTAGTTGCAAAGGACAGAGACTATGTGTCTTGTAAAGCGTCTAACATATTTACTATGTGTCCCTTTACAGAAGAAGTTTGAAGACCCCTATTCTAAAATAATCCCATATGGAGACTGCCGAAAAACCAAAGGCTGAAGTTTTAAGAACTCTGACTTCTGAACAACATTTGATTGTGTTTGCTGTATTTAGAATAGTGTTGTCAAAGTTGAGTTTCCTAGAATGCTTGCTAGTTCTGCAGAATGTCACTAGATCTAACAGAAGAAAAGGGGAATTACAGTCAAATTTGGCAAATTCTGGAATAAGCCAAGTGAAACAGATTTAGTCTTTGTAGCCCTTTTCAGGTCACCAATATATATGACAACTCTACAAAAGAGGATTAGATACAGAATTTCATAAGTCACTTAGTCTTAGAAAACTTTCCTTTTTATGAGACCTTATAGAGTTAATGTTTAAGGAACATACTGTGGGAAAGATGATTTGTTTAGAGCACCAAAATCTGATCATACATTAGATTACCAAATGTGTGTGTCTTCAAGAATGCTTAACTTCAACAATAAGCTGGTTAACAGGAGAAAGGTGATTATCACAGATTTATTTTTACATAAAATTTGAAACTTTCAGTAGCAGTTAGCTCCTCACTGAGAGTGCATTAGGGACAATGTTATAGTGACGTCGCTATGAAGACAGAGCAGACTCGAACTCCATACACGAGACTTCACCTCAATGCAGAGAAATTCTCAGGCCCTTTCTTCACCCCTTACATTTTAAAAAAGCAGAAAGTTAGTGTTCAAATCACAGCCCCCAGTGAATGTTGCTTACTTCTGACCTGAGCACTTAGTATATGAAGGTTATGTGGGTGTCCAAAGGTCTAGGAAAGCCTTATGTGTCCTCTGGGGAAAGTTGCAACGAACAATAGAAAAGTTCCTGAATATCGGGAAATGTTTTCCCAAGATCAAGAGATTTATTGGTATGTGGGAAAGATTCCAAAGCAGCTCTGTTGGCTGAAACATTTCAATTTTGACTGCTAGCTGCCAGTGCCAGTTTTGTTAAAGGGCAATTTCAGTGCATTGGCACACAATGACCTAGGCTGCCTGAGTAACTTAGAACCAGTTAAATTGTGATGATGTTTCCAAAGGCAGAGTTTATTTTGCCAGCACACATATTTTTGAAATTCCTATTGACATTGTCACCTATTTGCCTAACTAAGAAGGTTATTGATAATGAGCCAGGTATGTGTTTGCTCAACCCAAGCAGGACTTAGAAACCAAAACAATTATTCCCCAGTTCAAAGAATCAAAGATTTGTCAGCTCTAGTGAATGACTTCCACCTTAAAGAATACTAGGAATGTGCCTGCTTGCCTATAGAATGACTGCTTTTACACTGGCTGATGTTTTTGCAGCCATATAGAACAGTAACCTTTGCTTAGTATGGGGGAAGGAGCTGAAAGGGATCAGGGTATGCCACCCCAAAATATGTCACTTTGGCATAAGAATTATTTTTGTGATATTTGTTGATTAGTGAATTTATTTAGTAAATATTTACTGAGGGCAGATGTCAGACCAACCATATGTCAGACAATGTGCTTGGTGCTAAGGATAAAACATTCAAAATAACAAACAAACATCCCTGTCCTCAAAGAGGCTTTAATTATGTTGGGAGAAATAGATGTTTTAAAATAAACATATTGTATATAATGAGCCAGGAATGAGGGACTGGGAATGCCAGAGGGATACAATGTCAAATAATGCCCTGGGAGAAGCTACCATTTGAGCAAAGATCTGCAGGAGGCAAGAAAAAGAGCACTGAGACTGTCTAGGGGAAGAATGATTCAGGCAATGGGACCAGCAAGGACAAAGGGCCTGAAGTGAGAGCATGATCAACATATTTGATCCTGAATGAGGAGGCTGGCATTAGTGGAGATGAGCAGGTAGACAAGTGGAGGTAAAGAGATGAGTGAGGTAATCAGTTTCCCTTCAATGCTGCTGTCCGTCTGTCCTCATGGCTCCATTTTCTTTGGCCACCTCTCTTGTCAGTACAGGTGAGCAACCTTCCACTCTTCTAAGTTACCTCGCCTATATGCTGGCAGTAGAGTTCATGTTTCACCTTCTCACGTGTATCTATGCTTTCTTTTCTAACCATGTTGAATTTTTAAAATAAATTGAATGATCATAGTAACAAGACAAAAATATAGTAAAATACTCAAGAGAGGACACATTGGAGCAAATAGACCTGGGTGCAGTTTCTGGATTCACGACTTCCTAGATAGGTCATCCGGGATGAATTATCCAAGTTTGCTGAGCTCATTTCCTCATTGAATGTCTAAATCAGGCAACATACATAGTGCTTATCACAGGCGTTGGCACATGGAAAGTGCTCAATAAATTTAGATTTCCTTAAAGAGTCAGGCAGACTAAAGTTCCAGAATCATCTCCCAACCCACACCACAACCACAACTTTACCAACATCACTCCAATTGCTGATAATGCATACTGGTTCTACTTTGTGGTACTCTGCATAGGATGTGTGTTTATAAAGAGACAATTTGCATTGCTCATGGTAGCACAGAAGTGCCTTGACTAATGGAAACCCTTCATTATTCCAAAAGCAACTTATAGCCATATTTCTCTGATTTTATCATTCCTTCCCTACTCAGAACTCAATCAAAATCTTTGAAATCTTTGAAATTTATGATGGTAATTATTTACAAGTATTTATTATTTAAAGAATTTTGAGACTGATTTTCCTGACAGATGTTCAAATGGTGTGAGTACTGCTGCAGATAGAGAGCTTGCTGTACTGGAAGCTGCATGCAAGTTCTACACAGAATCATTTGTAAGCATTTGCACCAGGGCTGGTGGACATAGCCTCCATATAAAATGGACCAAGAGATAAATTAGACAAGTAGTGTTCGATGCAGACATTCTCCAGCAGTTGACTAAATCCTGCTATGCAGTCCTGCTTCATGGGTTAACCCATGCCTGGCTTCTCCTTTAGTCTTCTACCTCCAGTGTCGTTTCTAAGTAATTTGTTCACCTCTCAGTTTAGTTTTATAGATGATTAAGGTTCTAGTGTTGGTCGGGGGAAGCTACTCAGAAGAGATTGATATATTTAAAATCTGCCAGGATTATGATGATTGAGGTCATTTAATACAATGAAAATTTTGATCTGGTTTTAGCTTTGAACTTGAGAATGTCAGATACCAAAACTATAAGCTGCTTAGGAACAGGCTAGATGAGAAAACATGCTACTTATTTCTCAGATGCTTTCTGTGAATATTAAATCTCAGACCTTGACATTGTGTGCAGCCTTCATGTTGGAAATTATAATTAGAAAATATCACATTAAGGGGACTTTGCTGAGTTATTTATACATTTGTGTCCTTTGGAATTATTGGCTCTGGCCTTCTCTGTGGAGGTAGCTGGGCTTAGCCTTTTCTCTGCGCAGGGGCTCTGGGCATGGGGGGTGCATACCCAGGACACTCGGGTCTGTAAGCTGAAGTATCCTCGCCCTCATGCCCTGGTATTCTCCTCACAATGGATTGCTTCCCATTTCCTTCGAGAGAGCACTGGGTATCAAGTCAGGCTTGTTCTCTTAACACTTGTACTGCCTTAAAAATCTTCTTCTAAAATGCATTTTATGCTTAGGCATTTACACAGAAGTACATTGCACCCTCTGACTCATAATTAGAATTCTTCCTAAAGACCCTGAGATTTCTGTGACTATATTCGTTTGCTCCACTGCTGCAGCAAAATATCATGGATGGGGTAGCTTAAACAACAGAAGCTTATGTTCTCACACTTTTGGAGCCTAGAAGTCCAAGCCCATTCTGAGGCCTCCCTCCTTGGCTTGCAGATGGCCGCCTTCTTGCTGTGTCCTCACACTGTCTTTTTTAGTGCATGTGTTTCTGGTGTCTCTTTTTCTTTTCCTAATCTCCTTTTCTTATAAGACACAAGTCAGATTGCTTGGGGGCCCACTTTAAGAGCCTCTTTTTAACTTAATTATCTCTTTAAATGTCCTGTTTCCAAATATAGTTTGTTAAGTACATTCTAAGTACTTCACACTAAGGACTTTGAGGGGATACAATTCATTCCATAACAGTGACATTTTCATGTCATCAGCTTTATTAGTTGCTACCTGCAACTTGAAAAGGTACATTTTTTTTAAATGAGTGGCAAAAAAAGGAAAAAAGGAAGAAAAATTGATAGCTTGTTGCACATTTATGATTGTAATTATTTACAAATATTTATTATTTTAAAAATTCTAAGATTGATTTTCCCAACAAATGTTCACATTTTATGAGTACTGTCGCACATATAAAGCTTGCTGTATTGGAAGCCGCATGCAGGTTCTACATAGAATCATTTGAATTCTCCTACGAGTCTCAACCACTTCCAGAACTCGGGAAGAAATTCTGGTTGCAACTGGCAGGATTTTGAGATGTCTGCTCCAATTTATTGTTTACTATTAACTGAAATGATGTTTTTTGTTTGGTTGGTTTGTTCTTAAAAGTACGTTAACTTCCAGACCTAACCTTTCATCTTTGGTTGGTTTCTCTTCATAATTGGCCTGGACAAAAGAGTAAGCACAGGAAATCAAGAATTAAATCTGTTAAACTCAGAAAAATCAGTGAATCCTTGTACACTTAAGCATCATCGAAAATACACGAAGAAACCTGTTTGCCAACTAGATGACTGATTGAAATGGTCTTGTTTGCTTAATTGATTACTTTTCTTGTTTGTTTCCAGAAAGAGGTTTCCCAAGTCTATTTTTCTATAAAATACTTTACACTGAATTCTTTTGCACAGGTATTTCATCAGGCTTGCCTAACCTTGTCTACATATTCAGTCATCCATCTACAAATCTTCAAATTATTCTTTCTGAATTCTAAAAATAATGGATTTGATTTGGAGTATTGCCACAGATATTGGAGGGAGCTTCTGAAAAAAGATGGAAGGGGCTGGGCGCGGTGGCTCACGCCTGTAATCCCAGCACTTTGGGAGGCCAAGGCAGGCGGATCACCATGTCAGGAGATCAAGACCATCCTGGCTAACACGGTGAAACCCCGTCTCTACTAAAAATACAAAAAAATTAGCCGGGCCTGGTGGTGGGCACTTGTAGTCCCAGCTACTCAGGAGGCTGAGACAGGAGAATGGCATGAACCTGGGAGGGGGAGCTTGCAGTGAGCTGAGATTGCGCCACAGCACTCCAAGCCTGGGTGACAAGGCGAGACTCCGTCTCAAAAGAAAAAAAAAAAAAGGAAGAGTGTCAGAAGTTAGGAATAAACTACAAGTTGTAAGAATATTGTGCACATATCATTTTAACGTTTATTCTTAATTTTAACATAAATTTTATTAGAATTTGAATTTGGAGTGAAATTCAGCTTAATTTTTTAAATGTAAGAAGTGAATTACTTTGAAATAATCTCAGTCCATATTTTTCAGATTCTAGGGAGATACTGTTTTTTAAAAGTTACAGCCAATGTAAGGCATTTGAATTTTTATTAAAAAGATAATATATTTTTGTTAAATTGAAGCACTACAGGATGGTACGAAGTAAAAAGTAATTATTCTCCTGTTCTTGCCTCTTTTTTCACCACAACTCCAACTTAAATGCTCTCAATTTCTCCAGAGGAAAACACTGGTAATGGTTTGCTGTCTACCCCTGCAGATAAGTCCTATGTATTTACATAGATATCTTTTTATGCAAATGTAAACATACTCTGCATATAATTCTATGAATTGATCTTTTATCATCTCATCATGTATTTTCAATATATATTCATGTCATTATTTGCAGATATACCTTATTATTGTAAACACTATGTAATATTTATTAAATACGTATGTTATTATCAATTTAACTAGCTTCTTAGTGATGGGCATTATTAGTTTATATTTTTTTACTCACAAATAATACTCCAGTTAGGACAGTTTTATATGTGTGTAGACATTATATAGTCATATATGTGTGTATATATATATATATATAGAGAGAGAGAGAGAGAGAGAGAGAGTCATGCATCGCTTAACATCAAAGATGTGTTCTGAGAAATGTGTCATTAGAAGATTTTGTCATTGTGTGAACATCACAGAGTGTACTTACACAAACCTACATTATATAGCCTACTACACACCAAAGCTATATGGCATAGCCTAGTGCTACTAGATTACAAACCTGTATAGCATGTTACTCTACTAAAAACTATAGGCAATGATAACATAATGGTAACTATTTGTGTACCTAAACATATAGTATAAATAGTATGAATATAGTATTAAAAGATAAAAAAATGGTATGTCTGTACAGAATACTTACCATGAAGGGAACTTGCAGGGCTGGAAGTTGCTCTGGGTGAGTCAGTGGATAAATGGTGAGTGAATATGAAGCCCTAGGACATTGCTGTACACTGTAATATTAGGCTACAGTAAATTTATAAAAAATTCTCTCTTCAAAAATAAATTAACCTTAGCTTACTGTAACATTTTTACTGTATAAAATTTTAAAGTTTTTTTCAAGGTTTTTGAAGTTTTTATAAGAACATTTCAGTTAAAACACAATCACATTGTACATCTTACAAAAAGGATTTTCTTTCTTTGTATTCTTATTCTATACGTATTTTTCTATTTTTAAATTTTTAATTTTTTAAAACTTTAAAACTGTTTTGATAAAAACTAAGACACAAACACACACATTAGTTTATACCTACACAGGGTCAGGATCACCAATCTCCTTGTCTTTCACCTCCACATCTTGTCCCATTGGAAAATCTGCAGGGGATATAACATGCGTGAAGCTATCATCTCCTTTTTTGCTTTTCATTTTGTTGCTGTATTTTTTTGCTAATGTTATTTGTTTATTTTTTTTTTAATTATACTTTAAGTTCTAGGATACATGTGCAGAACGTGCAGGTTGCAGGTTTGTTACATAGGTATACACGTGCCATGGTGGTTTGCTGTACCCATTAACCCATCATCTACATTAGGTATTTCTCCTAATGCTATCCCTTCAGTAGCCCCCAACTCCCCAGAAGGTCCAGGTGTGTGATGTTCCCTTCCCGTGTCCATGTGCTCTCATTATTCAACTCCCACTTTTGAGTGAGAACATGCAGTGTTCGGTTTTCTGTTCCTGTGTTAGTTTGCTGAGAATGATGGTTTCCAGCTTCATCCATGTCCCTGCAAATGACGTGAACTCATCCTTTTTATGGATGCATAGTATTCCTTGGTGTGTATGTGCCACATTTTCTTTATCCAGGCTATCATTGATGGGCATTTGGGTTGGTTCCAAGTCTTTGCTATTGTGAACAGTGCTGCAATAAACATACGTGTGCATGTGCCTTTGTAGTAGAATGATTTATAATCCTTTGAGTATATACCCAGTAATGGGATTGCTGGGTCTAATGGTATTTCTGGTTCTAGATCCTTGAGGAATTGCCACACTGTCTTCCACAATGGTGGAACTAATTTACATTCCCACCATCAGTGTAAAAGTGTTTCTGTTTCTCCACATCCTCTCCAGTACCTATTGTTTCCTTTTTTTTTTTTTTTTTTTTTTTTTTTTTTTTTTTTTTGAGACAGAGTCTCACTCTGTCACCCAGGCTGGAGTGCAGTGGCACGATCTTGGCTCACTGCAAGCTCCACATCCCCAGTTCACGCCATTCTCCTGCCTCAGCCTCCTGAGTAGCTGGGACTACAGGGGCCTGCCACCATGCCTGGCTAATTTTTTTAGTAGAAACAGGGTTTCACCATGTTAGCCAAGATGGTCTCGATCTCCTGACCTCATGATCCACCCAACTCGGCCTCCCAAAGTGTTGGGATTGCAGGAGTGAGCCACCGCACCTGGACTGTTTCCTGACTTTTTAATGATCGCCATTCTAACTGGCATGAGATGGTATCTTATTGTGGTTTTGATTTGCATTTCCCTAATGACCAGAGATGATGAGCTTTTCTTCATAAGTTTCTTGGCAGCATGTCTTCTTTTGATAAGTGCCTGTTCATATCCTTTGCCTATTTTTTGAGGCAGGTATTTACTTTTTTCTTGTAAATTTGTTTAAGTTGTTTGTAGACCTTGGATATTAGCCCTTTGTCAGATGGACAGATTGTAAAAATTTTCTCCCATTCTGTAGGTTGCCTGTCCACTCTGATGATAGTTTCCTTTGCTGTGCAGAAGCTCTTTGGTTTAATTAGATCCCATTTGTCAATTTTGGCTTTTGTTGCCATTGCTTTTGGTGTTTAGTTATGAAGTCTTTCCCCATGCCTATGTCCTGAATGGTATTGCTTAGGTTTTCTTCTAGGGTTTTTATGGTTTTAGGTTTAAGTCTTTAATCCATCTTGAGTTAATTTTTGTATAAGGTGTAAGGAAAGTTTCCAGTTTCAGTTTCCTGCATATATCTAGCCAGTTTTCCCAAGACAATTTATTAAATAGAGAATCATTTCCCCATTGCTTGTTTTTGTCAGGTTTGTCAACAAGCAGTTGGTTTTAGATGTGTGATGTTATTTCTGAGGCCTCCATTCTATTCCATTGGTCTATATATCTGTTTTGGTGCCAGTACAATGCTGTTTTGGTGCCAGTACCATGCTGTTTTGGTTACTGTAGCCTTGTAGTACAGTTTGAAGTCAGGTAGCGTGATGCCTCAGGCTTTGTTCTTTTCGCTTAGGACTGTCTTGGCTATACAGGCTCTTTTTTGGTTCCACATGAAATTTTAAGTAGTTTTTTTCTAATTCTATGAAGAAAGTCAATGGTAGCTTGATGGGAATAGCATTGAATCTATAAATTACTTTGGGCAATATGGCCACTGTCACAAAATTGATTCTTCCTATCCATGAGCATGGAATGTTTTTCCATTTATTTGTGTCCTCTCTTATTTCCTTGAGCAGTGGTTTGTAGTTCTCCTTGAAGAGGTCCTTCACATCCATTGTAAGTTTTATTCCTAGGTATTTTATTCTCTTTGTAGCAATTGTGAATAAGAGTTAACTCATGATTTGGCTCCCTGTTGGTCTATTATTGGTGTATAGGAATGCTTGTGATTTTTGCCCATTGATTTTGTATCCTGAGACTTTGCTGAAGTTGCTTATCAGCTTAAGGAGATTTGGGGCTAAGACAATGGGGTTTTCTAAATATACAATCATGTCTTCTGCAAACAGAGATAATTTGACTTCCTCTCTTCCTATTTGAATATGCTTTATTTCTTTCTCTTGCCTGATTGCCCTGGCCAGAACTTCCAATACTATGTTGAATAGGAGTGGTGAGAGAGGACATCCTTATCTTGGGCCGGTTTTCAAATGGAATGCTTCCAGCTTTTGCCCATTCAGTATGATATTGGCTTTGGGTTTGTCATAGATAGCTCTTATTATTTTGAAATACATTCCATCAATATCTAGTTTATTCAGAGTTTTTAGCATGAAGGGGTGTTGAATTTTATCAAAGTCCTTTTCTGTATCTATTGACAGAATCATGTGGTTTTTGTCATTGGTTCTGTTTATGTGATAAATTACATTTAGTTATTTGCATATGTTGAACCAGCCTTGCATCCTAGGGATGAAACAGGCTTGATCGTGGTGGATAAGCTTTTTGATGTGCTGCTGGATTCTATTTGCCAGTATTTTATTGAGGATTTTTGCCTCAACATTCATTAGGTATTTTGACCTGAAGTTTTCTTTTTTTTAGTTGTATCTCTGCCAGGTTTTGGTATCAGAATGATGCTGGCTTCAGAAAATGAGTTAGAAAGGAATTCCTCTTTTTTTGTTGTTTGAAATAGTTTCAGAAGGAGTGGTACCAGCTCTCCTTTCTACCTCTGGTAGCATTTGGCTGCGAATTCATCTGGTCCTGAGCTTTTTTTTGGTTGGCAGGATATTAATTACTGCCTCAATTTTAGAACTTGTTATTGGCCTATTCAGGGATTCAACTTCTTTGTGTTTTAGTCTTGAGAGGGTGTAGGTATTCAGGAATTTATCCATTTCTTCCAGATTTTCTAGTTTATTTGTGTAGAGGTGTTTATAGTAGTCTCTGATGGTAGTATTTCTGTGGGATCAGTGGTGATATCCCCTTTATCATTTTTCATTCTGTCTATTTGATTCTTCTCTTTTCTTCTTTATTAGTCTGGCTAGCAGTTTATCTATTTTGTTCAAAACTTTTCAAAAAACCAGCTCCTGGATTCACTGATTTTTTGAAGGGTTTTTCGTGTCTCTATCTCCTTCAGTTCTGCTCTTATCTTAGTTATTTCTTATCTTCAGCTAGCTTTTGAATTTGTTTGTTCTTGCTTTTTAGTTCTTTGAATTGTGATGTTAGGGTGTCCATTTTAGATCTGTCCTGCTTTCTTCTGTGGGGCATTTAGTGCTATAAATTTCCCTCTAAACACTGCTGTAGCTGTGTCCCAGAGATTCTGGTACATCATGTCTTTGTTCTCATTGGTTTCAAAAAACTTATTTATTGCTGCTTTAATTTTGTTATTTACCCAGTAGTCTATCAGGAACAGGTTGTTCAGTTTCCACGTAGTTGTGCAGTTTTGAGTGAGTTTCTTATTCCTGAGTTCTAATGTGATTGCACAGTGGTCTGAGAGACTGTTTGTTATGATTTCCATTCTTTTTCATTTGCTGAGGAGTGTTTTACTTCCAATTATGTGGTCAATTTTAGAATAAGTGCGATGTGGCACTGAGAAGAATGTATACACTGTTATATTGGGGTGGAGAGTTCTGCAGATGTCTGTTAGGTCTGCTTGTTCCAGAGCTGAGTTCAAGTCCTGAATATCCTTGTTAATTCTCTGACTCACTGATCTGTCTAATATTGACAGTGGGGTGTTAAAGTATCCCACCATTATTGTGTGGGAGTCTAAGTCTCTTTGCAGGTCTCTAAGAACTTGCTTTATGAATCTGGGTGCTCCTATATTGGGTGCATATATATTTAGAATAGTTAGCTCTTCTTGCTGCATTGATCCCTTTACCCTCATGTAATGCCCTTTTTTGTCGTTTTTGAGCTTTGTTGGTTTAAAGTCTGTTTTATCAGAGACTACAATTGCAACCTCTGCTTTCTTTTGCTTTCCTTTTGCTTGGTAAATATTCCTCCATCCTTTTATTTTGAGCCTATGTGTGTCTTTGCACGTGAAATTGGTCTCCTGAATACAGCACACTGATGGGTCTTGACTCTTTATCCAATTTGCCTGTCTGTCTGTTAATCAGGGCATTTAGCCCATTTATATTTAAGGTTAATATGGTTTTGTGTGAATTTGATCCTGTCATTATGATGCTAGCTGGTTATTTTGCCTGATAGTTGATGTAGTTTCTTCATAGTGTCGATGGTCTTTACAATTCGCTATGTTTTTGCAGTGGCCGGTACCGGGTTTTCCTTTCCATGTTTAATGCTTCCTTCAGCAGCTCTTGTAAGGTAAGCCTGGTGGTGACAAAATCTCTCAGCATTTGCTTGTCTGTAAAGGATTTTCTTTCTCCTTTTCTTAGGAAGCTTAGTTTGGCTGGATATGAAATTCTGGGTTGAAAATTCTTTTCTTTAAGATGTTGAATATTGGCCCTCACTCTCTTCTGGCTTGTACAGTTTCTGCAGAAAGATCTGCTGTTAGTCTGATGGGCTTCCATTTCTGTGTAACCCGACCTTTCTCTCTGGCTGCCCTTAACAATTTTTCCTTCATTTCAGCCTTGGTGAATCTGGTGATTATGTGTCTTGGGGTTGCTCTTCTCGAGGAGTTTCTTTGTGGCGTTCTCTGTATTTCCTGAATTTCAATATTGGTCTGTCTTGCTAGGTTGGGGAAGTTCTCCTGGATAATATTCTGAAGAGCATTTTCCAGCTTGGTTTCATTCTCCCTGACACTTTCAAGTATGCCAATTAAATGTAGGTGTGGTCTTTTCACATAGTCCATATTGGAGGCTTTGTTCATTCCTTTTCATGATTTTTTCTCTAATCTTGTCTTCGTGCTTTATTTCATTAAGTTGATCTTCAATCTCTGATATCCTTTCTTCCACCTGATCAATCCGGCTATTGATACTTGTATATGCTTCACCAAGTTCTCATGCTGTGTTTTTCAGCTACATCAGGTCATGTATGTTCTTCTCTAAACTGGCTATTCTAGTTAGAAGTTCCTGCAACATTTTACCAAGGTCTTAGCTTCCTTGCATTGGGTTAGAACATGCTCCTTTAGCTTGGAGGAGTTTGTTATTACCCACCTTCTGAAGCCTACTTCTGTCAATTCATCAACTCATTCTCTTTCCAGTTTTGTTCCCTTGCTGATGAGTATTTTTGATCCTTTGGAGGAGAAGAGGTGTCTGGTTTTCGGAATTTTCAGCCTTTTTGCGCTGGTTTTTCCTCACCTTCGTGGATTTATCTACCTTTGGTATTTGATGTTGGTGAACTTCAGATGAGGTTTCTGTGTGGACATCCTTTTTGTTGATGTCAATGCTATTCCCTTCTGTTTGTTAGCTTTCCTTCTAACAGTCAGGCCCCTCTGCTGCAGGTCTGATGGAATTTGCTGGAGGTCCACTCCAGACCCTTTTTACCTGGGTATTACCAGTGGAGGCTGCAAAAAGCAAAGATTGCTGCCTGTTCTTTCCTCTTGAACAGAGGGCGGCACCTGCCAGAGGGTGCACCAGAGGGGCATCCACCAGATGCCAGCTGGAGCTCTCCTTTAGGAAGTGTCTGTTGACCACTGCTGGGAGGAGTCTCCCAGTCAGGAGTCATGGGGGTCAAGCACCCACTTGAGGAGGTAGTCTGTTCCTTAGCAGAACTCAAGCACTGTGCTGGGAGATCTTCAGCTCTCTTCAGAGCTGGCAGGCAGGAATGTTTAAGTCCCCTGAAGCTGTGCCCACAGCCACCCCTTCCCCTAGGTGCACTGTCCAAGGGAGATAGGAGTTTTATCTATAAGCTCCTGCCTGGGGCGGGTGCCTTTCTTTCAGAGTAGCCCTACCCAAAGAGGAAGAATCTAGAGAAGCAGTCTGAAGCTGTCATCCATTATGATAGTAATGCCTTCTTTTGGAATACCTTCAGAAGGACCTGCTTGAGGCTATTTTATAGTTAACATTATTTTATAAGTAGAATGTGTACACTTTAAGATAATGATGAAATGTGTAGTATATTAAATACATAACCATTAACATAGTTGTTTATTACTATTATCAAGTATTATGTACTGTTCATAATTTTATGTGCTATCGTTTTATACTCCTGGCAGCAAAGTAGGTTTGTTTACACCAACATCACCACAAAGAGATGAGTAATGTGCTGTACTTGGGTATTATAATGGCCCAATGTCACTAGGCAATAGGAATTTTTCAGCTTCATCATAATGTCATGAGATTATCATCTTATATGTGATCAATCATTGACCAAAACATTGTTATGCAGCTCATAACTATTTATAGATACAGATATCAATAATAAACCTATCAATTCATCTATCTATCATCTATCTATCTATCTGTCTATCATCTATTTGCAAGCATATGTACTACATACATTGGTGGCTATGTAATTGCTTTTCAGATGGTATTCACATTTTCAATTTTTGAAACAAGTTCCAAATTGTCCTTTACATACCCCTATATGCCTACTATAATGGCTAAATTAAAAAAAAAATCAACTGGCAATACTAATTGCTGATGAAGATGTATAGCAACAGAAACTAATTTATTGCTGGTGAGAATGCAAAATGGCATAGTCACTTTGGAAGACAAATTGGCATTTTCTTACAAAGCTAAACATGATCTCACCATTTGATACAATTGTTCTATTAGGCATTTATCCAGCTAATTTGAAACCTTACAAACTTATGTCAACAAAATTCCATATGTGAATGTTTATAGAATCTTTGTTTATAAAGGAATATTTTAGTAGGTGAATAGATACATATATTCTGTCACAAAACATAAAAAGAAATGAGCTGTCAATAAACTGTGTCACAAAAGATAAAAATAAATGAGCTATCAGGCCACAAAAAGACATGGTTGAATCTTAAATGTACATTGCTAAGTAGAAAAGGTTACATACTATATAATTCTGGTTACATGGAATCCTGAAAAAGGCAAACTTCAAAAGAATACAAAATACAAAAAATTAAGAATGCAAAATAATTTTAAATAATTTATGATATGTAGAGAGTTTTCTATCAAGGAAGTGGAGCAATCTCCCAACTCATTAAGAGTGGGCTGCATATAGTAACTTCTTTCCAAAGGGTGCAGTATGAGACCAGGAGAAAAAGTGATTTTACAATCTGACAGGTCAGAAACCTGACAGGTCAACATCAACAGTAATGTTATGTTGCTAGTGTGTATCCTCGAAGTGATGTGTTGGAAATGGCCCTTTACCTCTGTGGTCCTCCTCCTAACACCAGTCTAATCATGGGACAAACATCAAACAAATCCCCTTTGAGAAACATTCTATAATATATTCCTGACTGGAACTGTTCAAAACTCTTATACCCATCAAAAGCAAGGCAAGTTTGAGAAACTGTCACATCCAAGAAGAGCATAAGGAGACATAATAGCTAAGTGTCACGTATCCTAGGTGGGATTCTGGAACAGAAGAAGTACATCAGGTAAAGCTACATTGTTGGCAAGTTGGAATATTTTGTCAATTCATGAATTCACTATTTTGAATATTGAACCCTCAGTAAAGACATTTTCAGGAAATTGATTTTCAGCAAAACAGCCATTGGGTATATTGATCAGCTGTAATTCTGGAACTTCTGCTTTTCCCTGAGTTTTATAATTGATATTAAAGTGGAAAGCTATTTTTTATTCATCAATAGTCAAAGACTTAATGGCATTTGACACTTCAGAATGTTAGAAATAAATGTGACAACTGAAAAATTCATGGCATATTGTGACTTAGATTTGAAGATGTTTCCAAGTTTTCAAAAAACATTGTTTTCAATGTTATAGAATGTGACTGTATAATCCGTATTCTCTTAACATTTATGAATTTAAATTTTTTTAAACTCTAAATTTGAACTGCATATTAACCTATTTTTTCTAGAGCTCATTTGAACCTACAACAATTCTATCATAAAGCAATGGCTGTGAATTATCCTTAGGTTAAATATAATAACACTGCCTTTAGTGAATTTAAATAATTTGTCCAAAGCTCTTATTGTCAGTGGCAGCAGTGGAATTTCAACCTGGGTCCGAAGTCTAGCTCTCTGGAGAATTTCTCATGATTCGTATGCCCTTATATTATTTATTATTCTAAATAATATTATTGTAGTAAAGCATTTTTTGTAACTTATTTTAAATAAGACTTTGAAATGTTTGCTTATTCTGAAAGTATCATACATACAGAAGTTCTATAAAATTTATGTAGAATAAGTAATAATAAAAAAACTCATATGATCTCCTAACAGAACGTTTTAAAAAAATAAGATTGCATTTAACCTAACCAAAAACCTGTTTGAGTTAATTATTTCATATTTCTATTTATATTTTTACCACTTGTTAAGTATTACTATTTTCTAAGTTTATACGAATCCATTCATATTTTTTAGGAAATAAAAGCTTTTGAGATTTATCCATGTCAATGTGTATAATGTAGGTCATTGCTTTTCACCGAAGTGCAGTTTTCTTTGAAATGAATATACCATTATTTTAATTTTTCTGTTTTCATTGTAAACGTATTTTGCAGTTGTTGTCAGTTTGGGATTAAAAATTTTTCTGTGGTTACTTGCCTGTTTATCTATCATGAACTGTGAAGATTTTTGTACATGTGATGGAGTATAGACGTGCAAGAGATTTTTAGAAGTTCTCAAGTGACATTTGAAGAAAATGCTCAGAGCTTTCACTACAGACCATAGAAATCAATGATAGCGTTTTTAAATGTGACTAAACAAGTTTTTATATAAGATCCATATGAATAAGTACTAGATGAGAGAACTGTAACAACCCTGCAACAGAAGATGCACTATTATTCAAGCAAGTCCCTTGCTTGATTTCTCTGCACGCATCAATGACACTGGGTGTAGAGCTAAGAAAGAATTTCATTTTGCCAGAGAGATGGTGTGTGTGCATATCTTTCTTTACTAGCATTTTGGCTCTTCATCTCTTCTTGAAGAAGACTCTGCTGTGTTTTCTTGTAATTTTTTATGTCAATATTTTGAATCATTTAGAATAAAACCTACGTTTTAAATTTTGCTTGCAATAGCAAGAATATGAGTGATAATCTTTTCCACTAGCAAAAATGTATTTTCGGTAAATTTTTAAAATTGAACCATAGGGAGCTATTCCGTCAAGGTCATTAAAAATTGAAGCTTGTGGCTATTTTTGTCATGGAAGAGTAATAGCCACTATAAACTTATCCCACTTGAGAAATGAGTAATTCTTTATTTCATTACATTCCCAACCAGAATCTCTGATCCATCAGTAATTACTCACATATTTTTTTGGTTCATATAATTTCTATAACTGAAAGAAAAGATCCAAATATATATTTTATTTGCAGAATTATTTTCTACCAAGATAGGTTTTGGTGTAGTAATATTCTAGCACCAATACTACTTTTCAACAGGTTGGTCTCTGAAATATCAATACACATAAAATGGCCTCAAATAAAATAATGTGGCAAAGCCATGACAGCTGGCCTTCTGAGTATTATCAAAATACCAGACTTTTGCTATGAGATATTCAAGGACAGTGTAAATCCCATATAGTAGAAAAAAAATGATACATTACTACAAATATACATAATCTGTAATACTTCTTCATAAAAAGATGTGTGAATATTTATGCATCCTGATGAATTTTCAGGAGTACAAACATGGCCAGAACAATATCTGAATAATTTAGTGGTGCAACATTTTATCTGCCTTTTTGTCCAGAGAAAAGTAGTTTATAACATGTAAATAATGCATGCCATTATATGGGAATTTTGTAGTGATTCCTATATTTAGGAAACTGAGATCTGATTCTGTACTTCAAAGATGTTAAAATGAGGTGGGAAGATGAGTCATGTACATGAAAAACACATATTAAAATATGACAACAAAACTAATAAATGCATTTTTCTGATTTGGTTTTTTGAAAAACTTGAAGTACAGAAAATGTACTCTGACTTGATACATTCAGAATCCTCATCATTATAAATTTCTTGCTCTCGTAATACATTTATATTTCCAAATCACCAAGTGGGAAGATAGACTAATTTGCCAGAGTATAGTTATGATTCCATTCTGCAGAGAGCTCCTCAACCAGGGTGCAAACTACTTGTTGCCACTGATAATTCTTCCTTCCCTTCATCAGGAGTAACCCCTGGACATAGGATAGGACTTAGAAGACTTAAAGAAGGATCTTTAGGGAGATAGAAGACTGGGGCTTCACACAGAGAAGTAGGAGTGTCATCAGAACCCACTGGAGTAAATGTTTGCTCATGATTAAACTATACTACTCATTTTTGAAGGAAGATAAATAATAAACATTCTTTCCTTTGAACATATCCAATCTAAAGGAGTCAGGGTTGTGTGGTGGAATGAGAACTGTATTACAAGTCAAAAGGCAAACTTTGTAGACCTCGAATTTTACTCACTACTGGCTCTCTTAGTTGCCTTGTCAATTAAATTGAAATTAAAATGTGTACCCGGGTTGGTAGTTTTGAATGTTAAGGAAAGATTTGTGGATATAAATGCCTTATATATTACTACCTGAAACAAAATGTACACTTAATAACTATGGTACATTAAATTAATCTACTCTTTATACAGTTTTTAAAATAATGTTAACAAAGTATTTATTATAACATGGAGATATACTTGCAATATAGCATATTAAGAAAGAGTATTATACAAATCTGGATATATACCATAAATAGACCGTAAATACATGAAGCATACTGAAAGAGCATGCATTGAAACTGAAACAAAAACAAAGACATATACCCTGGAGATTAATACTCCCAAAGTATTAGTAGAAATTGCTTTTGTGTGATGAGGCTATGAATGATTTTTTTCTTCCACATTTCTGTATTTTCCAAATATTCTATACCAAAGAAAAGTTTCAATATTTTTCCAATGAAAGAAGAAATATTGTCATTTTAGTTATATACTTTATTTCTCCAGCAAACTTGTTTCTTGAGGGAAAGAGTTGTGTAATTTAGTCCTTTGAATCATAATGTATCAATATGCCTAAATTAAGTGTCCAATATAAATTTTTCCACTGGCAGATGATTGATAGGTTTTTCCCTTTCAGTACTTTCTAGAACATCCAAAAGGGAAAAATACGACTCAATCTGTTTTGTTTCTAATTCACATCCAAAAGCTTCCATACATCTACAAAGTTATAAGGGTAAAATCTAGGCTGTCGTAAACTGTTTCGAAAGGAATAACTGTTTCCTTTTTTTTTTTAAAGGAAGAGTCAGTTTGTTAAAGCTATGTGAATAATGTAGCATGTGCAAAATTTGGCATCAGCTCATATTCTGATAGCGCCAGACACCAAGAGAAAGGTCTTTCTTGTCTTTTCCTCACTCTAAGGAAGAAATATCATCTTCTTTTACTGCAGAATTAAAAGATGAGGTGAAAAAGAATTGGTTGGGTATTTCTACTGAAATGTCTGTTCCAACACCACAGTTGATGGTAGTACATAGTCTGAGAGCCTTCAATACTCAGTCCCATCTGTTAAAATGGCACAGTGCCTAAATGCCAGATGGTGTACTGGCTTTGCAGGGACAGAGGCGCCAGAAAGAGGGCTTTAGAAGACATTTTTAATACCACCCCCTTGGGCCTCCTGCCTTGGGAACAACTCACCCATGTTGGCGACCCTGTCACATTTCACATTGCTTCCATAACATCTAGAAATAAGAGGTTCCAAACGCTTACTAAGTCACTTCCTTGAGCTGCCTACTGGTTTCTGATCTTTTAAAAGTTGAAAAAGAATACCAAAGTGGAAAAAAGAAAGGCCAAGAATGGCCAACATTTGAAGTTTCCAACACCCACAGCCTGTATCTGAGGGTGATTAGGATTATATGATGTGCTGAATCCTATTATGTGAGTGTCAAATGTATAGACACTGATTGAGCAATTTACCTATTTTTTTATTATACTTTAAGTTTTAGGGTACATGTATGTGCACAACGTGCAGGTTTGTTTCATATGTATGCATGTGCCATGTTGGTGTGCTGCACCCATTATTTCGTCATTTAGCATTAGGTATATCTCCTAATGCTATCCCTCCCCACTCCCCCAACTGCACAACAGGCCCCGGTGTGTGATGTTCCCCTTCCTGTGTCCATGTGTTCTCATTGTTCAATTCCCACCTATGAGTGAGAACATGCGGTGTCTGGTTTTTTGTCCTTGCGATAGTTTGCTGAGAATGATGGTTTCCAGCTTCATCCATGTCCCTGCAAAGGACATGAACTCATCAATTTTTATGGCTGCATAGTATTCCATGGTGTATATGTGCCACATTTTCTTAATCCAGTCTATCATTGTTGGACATTTGGGTTGGTTCCAAGTCTTTGCTATTGTGAATAGTGCCGCAATAAACATACGTGTGCATGTGTCCTTATAGCAGCATGATTTATAATCCTTTGGGTATGTACCCAGTAATGGGATGGCTGAGTCAGATGGTATTTCTAGTTCTAGATCCCTGAGGAATCGCCACACTGACATCCACAATGGTTGAACTACTTTACAGTCCCACCAACAGTGTAAAAGTGTTCCTATTTCTCCACATCCTCTCCAGCACCTGTTGTTTCCTGACTTCTTAATGATTGCCATTCTAACTGGTGTGAGATGGTATCTCATTGTGGTTTTGATTTGCATTTCTCTGATGGCCAGTGATGATGAGCATTTTTTCCTGTGTCTTTTGGCTGCACAAATGTCTTCTTCTGAGAAGTGTCTGTTCATATCCTTTGCCCACTTGTTGATTGGGTTGTTTGTTTTTTTCTTGTAAATGTGTTTGAGTTCATTGTAGATTCTGGATATTAGCCCTTTGTCAGACGAGTAGATTGCAAAAATTTTCTCCCATTCTGTAGGTTGCCTGTTCACTCTGATTGTAGTTTCTTTTACTGTGCAGGAACTCTTTAGATGAATTAGATCCCATTTGTCAATTTTGTCTTGTGTTGCCATTGCTTTTGGTGTTTCAGACATGAAGTCCTTGCCCATGCCTATGTCCTGAATGGTAGTGCCTAGGTTTTCTTCTAGGGTTTTTATGGTTTTAGGTCTAACATTTAAGTCTTTAGTCCATCTTGAATTAATTTTTGTATAAGGTGTAAGAAAGGGATCCAGTTTCAGCTTTCTACATATGGCTAGCCAGTTTTCCCAGCACCATTTATTAAATAGGGAATCCTTTCCCCATTTCTTGTTTTTGACAGGTTTGTCAAAGATCAGATAGTTATAGATATGAGGCATTATTTCTGAGGGCTCTGTTCTGTTCCATTGGTCTATATCTCTGTTTTTGTACCATTACCATGCTGTTTTGGTTACTGTAGCCTTGTAGTATAGTTTGAAGTCAGGTAGCCTGATGCCTCCAGCTTTGTTCTTTTGGCTTAGGATTGACTTGGCGATGCGGGCTCTTTTTTGGTTCCATATGAACTTTAAAGTAGTTTTTTCCAATTCTGTGAAGAAAGTCATTGGTAGCTTGATGGGAATGGCATTGAATTTATAAATTACCTTGGGCAGTATGGCCATTTTCACAATATTGATTCTTCCTACCCATGAGCATGGAATGTTCTTCCATTTGTTTGTATCCTCTTTTATTTCCTTGAGCAGTGGTTTGTAGTTCTCCTTGAAGAGGTCCTTCACATCCCTTGTAAGTTGGATTCCTAGGTATTTTATTCACTTTGAAGCAATTGTGAATGGGAGTTCACCATGATTTGGCTGCTTGTCTGTTACTGGTGTATAAGAATGCTTGTGATTTTTGCACATTGATTTTGTATCCTGAGACTTTGCTGAAGTTGCCTATCAGCTTAAGGAGATTTTGGCTGAGACGATGGGGTTTTCTAGATATACAATCATGTCATCTGCAAGCAGGGACAATTTGACTTCCTCTCTTCCTATCTGAATACCCTTTATTTCCTTCCGCTGCCTGATTGCCCTGGCCAGAACTTCCAACATTATGTTGAATAGGAGTGGTGAGAGAGGGCATCCCTGTCTTGTGCCAGTTTTCAAAGGGAATACTTCCAGTTTTTGCCCATTCAGTATGATATTGGTTGTGGGTTTGTCATAGATAGCTCTTATTATTTTGAGATATTTCCCATCAATAGCTAATTTATTGAGAGTTTTTGGCATGAAGGGTTGTTGAATTTTGTCAAAGGCCTTTTCTGCATCTATTGAGATAATCATGTGGTTTTTGTCGTTGGTTCTGTTTATATGCTGGATTACATTTATTGATTTGCGTATGTTGAAGAGCCTTGCATCCCAGGGATGAAGCCCACTTGATCATGGTGGATAAGCTTTTTGATGTGCTGCTGGATTCGGTTTGCCAGTATTTTATTGAGGATTTTTGCATTGATGTTCATCGGGGATATTGGTCTAAAATTCTCTTTTTTTGTTGTGTCTCTGCCAGGCTTTGGTATCAGGATGATGCTGGCCTCATAAAATGAGTTAGGAAAGATTCCCTCTTTTTCTATTGATTGAAATAGTTTCAGAAGGAATGGTACCAGCTCCTCCTTGTATCTCTGGTAGAATTCGGCTGTGAATCCATCCGGTCCTGGACTTTTTTTGGTTAGTAAACTATTAATTATTGACTCAATTTCAGAGCCTGTTATTGGTCTATTCAGAGATTCAACTTCTTCCAGGTTTAGTCTTGGGAGGGTGTACGTGTTGAGGAATTTATCCATTTCTTCTAGATTTTCTAGTTTATTTATGTAGAGGTGTTTATAGCACTTTCTGATGGTAGTTTGTATTTCTGTGGGATCGGTGGTGATATCCTCTTGATCATTTTTTATTGCATCTATTTGATTCTTCTCTCTTTTCTTCTTTATTAATCTTGTCAGTGGTCTATCAATTTGTTGATCTTTTCAAAAAACCAGCTCCTGGATTCACTGATTTTTTGAAGGATTTTTGGTGTCTCTATTTCCTTCAGTTCTGCTCTGATCTTAGTTATTTCTTGCCTTCTGCTATCTTTTGAATGTGTTTGTCCTTGCTTCTCTAGTTCTTTTAATTGTGATGTTAGGGTGTCGATTTTAGATCTTTCCTTCTTTCTCTTGTGGGCATTTAGTGCTATAAATTTCCCTCTACACACTGCTTTGAATGCGTCCCAGAGATTCTGGTATGCTGTGTCTTTGTTCTCGTTTGTTTCAAAGAACATCTTTATTTCTGCCTTCATTTCGTTATGTACCCAGTAGTCATTCAGGAACAGGTTGTTCAGTTTCCATGTAGTTGAGCAGTTTTGAGTGAGTTTCTTAATCCTGCGTTCTAGTTTGATTGCACTGTGGTCCGAGAGACAGTTTGTTATAATTTCTGTTCTTTTACATTTGCTGAGGAGTGCTTTGCTTCCAAACATGTGGTCAGTTTTGGAATAGGTGTGGTGTGGTGCTGAAAGGAATGTATATTCTGTTGATTTGGGGTGGAGAGTTCTGAAGATATCTATTAGGTCCTCTTGGTGCAGAGCTCAGTTCAGTTCCTGGATATCCTTGTTAACTTTCTGTCTCATTGATCTGTCTAATGTTGACAGTGGGGTGTTAAAGTCTCCCATTATTATTGTGTGGGAGTCTAAGCCTCTTTGTAGGTATCTAAGGACTTGCTTTATGAATCTGGGTGCTCCTATATTGGGTGCATATATATTTAGGATAGTTAGCTCTTCTTGTTGAATTGATTCCTTTATAATTATGTAATGGCCTTCTTTGTCTCTTTTGATCATTGTTGGTTTAAAGTCTGTTTTATCAGAGACTAGGATTGCAACCCCTGCCTTTTTTTGTTTTCCATTTGCTTGGTAGATCTTCCTCCATCCCTTTATTTTGAGCCTATGTGTGTCTCTGCACATGAGATGGGTTTCCTGAATACAGCACACTGATAGGTTTTGACTCTTTATCCAGTTTGCCAGTCTGTGTCCTTTAATTGGAGCATTTAGCCCATTTACATTTAAGGTTAATATGGTTTTGTGTGAATTTGATCCTTTCATCATGATGTTAGCTGGTTATTTTGCTCGTTAGTTGATGCAGTTTCTTCCTAGCCTCGATGGTCTTTACAATTTGTCATGTTTTTGCAGTGGCTGGTACTGGTTGTTCCTTTCCGTGTTTAGTGCTTCCTTCAGGAGCTCTTTTAGGGCAGGCCTGGTGGTGACAAAATCTCTCAGCATTTGCTTGTCTGTAAAGGATTTTATTTCTCCTTCACTTATGAAGCTTAGTTTGGCTGGATATGAAATTCTGGGTTGAAAATTCTTTTCTTTAAGAATGTTGAATATTGGCCCCCACTCTCTTCTGGCTTGTAGAGTTTCTGCCGAGAGATCAGCTGTTAGTCTGATGGGCTTCCCTTTGTGTGTATCCCGACCTTTCTCTCTGGCTGCCCTTAACATTTTTTCTTTCATTTCAACTTTGGTGAATCTGACAATTATGTGTCTTGGAGTTGCTCTTCTCGAGGAGAATCTTTGTGGTATTCTCTGTATTTCCTGAATTTGAATGTTGGCCTGCCTTGCTAGATTGGGGAAGTTCTCCGGATGATATCCTACAGAGTGTTTTCCAACTTGGTTCCATTCTCCCTTTCACTTTCAGGTACACCATTCAGATGTAGATTTGGTCTTTTCAGATAGTCCCATATTTCTTGGAGGCTTTGTTTGTTTCTTTTTTCTGTAAACTTCTCTTCTCACTTCATTTCATCCATTTGATCTTTCATCACTGATACCCTTTCTTCCAGTTGATCCAATCAGCTACTGAGGCTTCTGCATTCTTCACATAGATCTCGTGCCATGGTTTTCAGCTCCATCAGGTCCTTTAAGGACTTCTCTGCATTGGTTATTCTAGTAAGCCATTCGTCTAATTTTTTTTCAAGGTTTTTAACTTCTTTGCCATGGGTTTGAACTTCCTCCTTTAGCTTGGATTAGTTTGATTGTCTGAAGCCTTCTTCTCTCAACTCGTCAAAGTCATTCTCTGTCCAGCTTTTTTCCGTTGCTGGTGAGGAGCTGCATTCCTTTGGAGGAGGGGAGGTGCTCTGTATTTTAGAGTTTCCAGTTTTTCTGCTCTGTTTTTTCCCCATCTTTGTGGTTTTATCTACCTTTGGTCTTTGATGATGGTGATGTACAGATGGGGTTTTGGTGTGGATGTCCTTTCTGTTTCTTAGTTTTCCTTCTAACAGTCAGGCCCTCAGCTGCAGGTCTGTTGGAGTTTTCTGGAGGTCCACTCCAGACCCTGTTTGCTTGGGTATCAGCAGCGGAGGCTGCAGAGCAGTGGATAGTGGTGAATAGCAAATGTTGCTGCCTGATTGTTCCTCTGGAAGTTTTGTTTGAGAGGAGTACCTGGTCGTGTGAGGTGTCAGTCTGCCCCTACTGGGGGGTGCCTTCCAGTTAGGCTACTCAGGGGTCAGGGACCCACTTGAGGAGGCAGTCTGTCCGTTCTCAGATCTCAAGCTGCATGCTGGGAGAACCACTACACTCTTCAAAGCTGTCAGACAGGTACATTTAATCTGCAGAGGTTTCTGCTGCCTTTTGTTTGGCTATACCCTGCCCCCAGAGGTGGAGTCTACAGAGGCAGGCAGGCCTCCTTGAGCTGCGGTGGGTTCCACCCAGTTCAAGCTTCCTGGCTGCTTTGTTTACCTACTCAAGCCTCGGCAATGGTGGGCGCCCCTCCCCCAGCCTCACTGCCGCCTTGCAGTATGACCTCAGACTGCCATGCTAGCAATGAGCAAGGCTTCATGGGCGTAGGACCCTCCAAGCCATGCGCGGGATATAATCTCCTGGTGTGCCATTTGCTAAGACCATTGGAAAAGCGCAGTATTAGGGTGGGAGTGACCTGATTTTCCAGGTGCCATCTGTCACCCCTTTCTTTGACTAGGAAAGCGAATTCCCTGACCCCTTGCACTTCCTGGATGAGGCGATGCCTCATCCTGCTTCGGCTCACACTCGGTGTGCCGCACCCAATGTCCTGCACCCACTGTCCGACACTCCCCAGTGAGATGAACCTGGGACCTCAGTTGGAAATGCAGAAATCACCCATCTTCTGTGTCGCTCAAGCTGGGAGCCCTAGACTGGAGCTGTTCCTATTTGGCCATCTTGGCTCCACCCCCAATTTACCTATTTTCAGTGAGAAGAGAGACCCCCTGTTACATGGAAGAACCAGTTTATAAGTTCCACTCAACCTAAAGACAAAAAGTGCTCTAGCTATCAAAAAATAAAATACTTTTTGTCATTTAGTTAATGAAAAATGATAATTCCAAAACACATTTACTAATAGCTTCACTATTTCTCAAAACTGTCATGCTAGATAAATAACAATGAGCACAGACTCTTTGGAAAGATAATTTTCAAAAAAATCAAACACAAAGTTATACAAATATGGAATGAAGATGTACCACCTATTTGTTAACTCACTTAATTATGTAACCAGTAGAATGGCAAACCTAGTTCAAAAAATATTTCAGGAACTAGTTATTTGGACATTTAAAACATGAACATGTTGTCGAGGTAAAATTCAAAGCTTATTCAGGTCCATCAGGCCAATAACACCACAAACTTTGGGCTGGACTTTTTATGGGAAAAAATTCTCCAGGTTAATATATAGCTTCAGAAATTCTGGGTTCTAATCAAGCAGCAAATAGCAAAGTTAAACACAGGTACATTCTCCAAGGGAATTAATAATCTCAGATGAGCCTATTAACAAAATGCTCCAGAGCGTCATTGAACAACAATGCTGTACTCTCTTTTGTCTTATCTGCAAGTCTCGACTACTTTTTCTTGACTACATCAGAATAAAATCTTGTGTATGTGTGTATGTGTGTGTGTGTGTGTGTGTGTGTGTGTGTGTGTGTGTGTAAGGGGGTTGATTTGGCAAATCCCAGGAATTTTATTTAACTATAATAGTGATAAGATGTGTTCCCACTCCCACTCCCCTGGGTTTAAATTGTCATTCTAGCAAATAATTTCTCTTTCTGTGGAACTCTTTTCCCATGTCATCCACATTCACCAAGAAGGTCAGTGTTATTTCCTGATTTTAAAAAAAGTAATCCTTTTCCCAGGCTATCCACACTCACCAAGAAGCTCAGTGTTATTTCTTGATGTAAAAAAAATTAATCCTTTTAGCCTAGGATCTTAATGACATTCTTCTCTCAAATGTTTAGCTATTCTTAATCACACATTATTCCAAGCTAATTTAAACATTTTCTTGTGTAATTAGTAAAGAAATACAACACTAAAACATAAAATAAAATAAAATAAAATAAAATAAAATAAAATAAAATAAAATAGAAATTTGCTAATTGCATTCAGTGCACGCATTGGTCTTTCTCTGTCAAGTACTCTACTCACTATCTCACTCTAAGATCAAGTGGGGTTTGGAAGAGATCTTAACCCTGTGGCTGTTACATGAGTCTCAGGCCTAAATAAATCTGCCCTCTGCATTCTTGAATATCTGTATATGTGCATGTGTGTGTGCGCACACATATATACACAAATATGTATATATACTCATGTACATACACATATATACACGTACATATAAACATATACATACACACATACACATGTAAATATGTATACATGGATATGTATATGGGCCAGGCATGGTGGCTCATGCCTGTAATCCCAGAACTTTGGAAGACCAAGGCAGGCAGATCACTTGAGGCCAGGAGTTTGAGACCAGCCTGGCCAACACGGCAAAACCCCAACTCTACTAAAAATACAAAAGTATTAGCCAGGTGTGGTGGCACACACCTATAATCCCAGCTACTTGGGAGCCTGAGGCAGAAGAATCACTTGAAACCAGGAAGTAGAGGCTGCAGTGAGCCAAGATCACACCACTGCACTCCAGCCTGGGCAGCAGAGCAAGACTCTGTCTAAAAATAAGAAAACAAAAAAAGACATGCATATGTATGTAGGCATGTACTTAGCATAGTAGTACTACATGATTTTGGGTTTTCATGTTTATTTGAATTTAATCATTCATTTATTCCATCAAGCAGTATTTCCTCAGTCAAGTAATATTCTTTCTATGCTAGACATTGGGCTAGGTGCTAGGGATATAACTCTGAAAATAAAGATATACACAAAGCCTCCCCTCATGGAGCTTAATGTCTTGTGAGAAAGACATTTAAAAAAACATATTGTATATCTATCTATTATATATCTCATCAATTTATCCATATCTATTATATATCTCATTTATCTATGTGTAACATGAAAAAGAAATACAAGGTTATGAGACTGCTATCCATGGAAAACAAACTACTCAGAACATAAAAAGTTTTTTCTGAGGCAGTGACAAGAAATCTATACAATGAAGAAAATGTAAGGTTTCTTCAGGATCTCATGGGCCATGTATGAAACAACATTGGAAATAATTGGATATGGTTGTTATATCAGAAAGCACAAAGCTCTGTCTTCCATTGTGTTCAAGATGACAGTGATGCATGTGTATCTTCACTTTCTGTTTTGAGTGATGAAAAACCTTTCAAACATGTTTAAGAAAAATGAAATATATTGGTTTATGTAATGGAAAAGTGCTTTCAGATATGGCTCATTCCAGGGTTCAAATAATTTATCTTTCTCTTAATTATCAGGCATTGCCTCCTTGGTATTGAATCCATTATCCAACCCTACATGCTTGAAAGACAGTAGCTTATAGCTCCAGGGACGATATTCTTCCAGGTTTAAATCCCGCAAAAATGTCCCATCACCATTATGAATTCTTAGATTCAAATGTGACCAGCTGTGGTCACTTACGAATGCCTGAGAAAACGTTACAAAACACTAGAAAATAAAAAACATGGGGGCCAAGATGGCCGACTAGAAGCCATGATGATCAGAGGCTCCCATCAAAAATATCCAAAACAGCATGCGAATCCTATACCAGAAACTGAGGTATCCAGGTTCTGTCATTAGGACTGACTGGGCAGCTGGCATGACCTATGGAGAGGAAGGAAGAACAGTGTGGAGCGGTGGCTCTCCTGAAAGCCACAGGGGGTAGGGGAGCCCCCATTCCCAGTCAAGGGAGGTGGTGAGTGAGTGCGCTACCCAGCCTGGGAAACAGTGCTTTTTCCATGAAACTGTGCAACCCACAGATTGGAAGATCCCACTCAGGAGCCCACACCACCAGGGTCTTCAGCTCCAATCATAGAGCCATGCAGATTCTCAACACTTACTCGGCTAGAATTGGCCTAAGCCTGCCGAGTTCCCAGGGAGAGGGGTGGCCATCAACACTACTGTGGCTGCCTGTGGTCTAAGGCATCTGAGCTCCTTGGGGGAGGGACAGCAGCCAACATTGTGGCTGCAGGGTCTCCCTGCAGGAATTCTAACTCCAGCCAGGGGCTCAGGGACAGAACGCTGATCTCCCTGGGCCTGAGCCCCTAGAGGGAGCGGTGGCCATAGTCTCCATGGACCAGCAGACTTAGTCTTTCCCGCCACTAGCTCAGAGGAATTGGATAAAGAGTCAAGACCCGTCAGTGTGCCATATTCAAGAGACCCATCTCATGTGCAAAGACACACATAGACTCAAAATAAGAGAATGGAGGAAAATTTACCAAGCAAATGGAAAGGAGAAAAAAGCAAGGGTTGCAATCCTAGTCTCTGACAAAACAGCCTTTAAACCAACAATGATCAGAAAAGACAAAGTAGGAATTACATAATGGTAAAGCAGTCAATTCAACAAGAAGAGCTAACTATATATAGCTAACTATATAACTATATATAACCTAAATATATATGCACCCCATACAGGAGCACCCAGATTCACAAAACAAGTTCTTAGACACCCAAAAAAGAGACTAAAAGACTCCCACACAATAATAGTGGGAGACTTTAACACCCCACTATCAATATTAGATAGTTCAACAAGACAGAAAATTTAACAAGGATATTCCGGATGTGAATGCAGCTCTGGATCAAATTAACCTAATAGATATCTACAGGACTCTTCACCCCAAAATAACAGAATATACATTCTTCTCAGTGCCACATGGCACTTACTCTAAAATTGACCACATAATTGGAAGTAAAATGCTTCTCAGCAAATCAAACAGAATGGAAATAATAACAAACAGCCTCTTAGACCATAGTACAATCAAATTAGAACTCAACATTAAGAAACTCACTCAAAACTGCACAATTACATGGAAATTGAACAACCTGCTCCTGAATGACTCCTGGGTAAACAATGAAATTAAGGCAGAAATCAAGAAGTTCTTTCAAACCAATGAGAACAAAGAGACAACATACCAGAATCTCTGGCATGCAGATAAAACAGTGGTTAGAGAGAAATTATAGCACTAAATGCCCACAGGAGAAAGCAGGAAAGATCTCAAATTGACACATTAGCCTCACAATTAAAAGAACTAGAGAAGCAAGAACAAACAAATCCAAAAACTACCAGAAGACAAGAATTAACTAAGATCAGACTGGAACTGAAGGAGATAGAGACATGAAAAACCCTTAAAAAAATCAGTGAATCCAGGAACTGGTTTTTTGAAAAAATTAATGATATAGACATACAGCCAGCTAGACTAATAAAGAAGAAAAGAGAGAAGAATCAAATAGACACAATAAAACATGATAAAGGGGATATCACCACCGACCCCAGCGAAATGCAAACTACCATCAGAGAATACCATAAACACCTCTATGCAAGAAAACTAGAAAATCTAGAAGAAATGGATAAATTCCTGAGCAGATAAACTCTCCAAAGACTAACCTAAGAAAAAACCAAATCCCTTAATAGACTAGTAACAAGTTCTGAACTTGAGGCAGTAATTAATAGCCTGTCAACCAAAAACCACCCAGGACCAGACAGATGCACAACTGAATTCTACCAGACATAAAAAGAGGAGCTGGTACCATGCCTTCTGAAATTATTCCAAACAATTGAAAAGGAGGGACTCCTTCCTAATACATTTTATGAGGCCAGCATCATCCTGATACCAAAACTTGGCAAAGATACAACAACAAAAGAAAACTTCAGGCCAATATCCCTGGTGAATATTGATGTGAAAATTCTCAATAAAATACTGGCAAACCAAATACAGCAGCATGTCAAAAAAGCATATCTACCATGATCAAGTTGGCTTCATCTGTGGGATGCAAGGCTGGTTCAACCTATGCAAATCAATAAACATAATCCATCACATAAACAGAACCAATGACAAAGACCACATGATTACCTCAATAGATGCAGAAAAGGCCTTGAATAAAACTCAACATCCCTTCATGCTACAAGCTCTCAATAAACTAGGTATTGATGGAACATAACTCAAAATAATAAGAGCTATTTATGACAAACCCACAGCCAATATCACACTGAATGTGCAAAGCTGGAAGCATTCCCATTGAAAACCAGCACAAGACAAGGATGCTCTCTCTCGCCACTCCTATTCAACATAGTACTGGAAGTTCTGGCCAGGGCAATCAAGCAAGAGGAAGAAATAAAGCGTATTCAAATAGGAAGAGGGGAAGTCATATTGTCTCTGATTGCAGATGACATGATTCTATATTTAGAAAACACCATTGTCTCAGCCCAAATCTCCTTGAGCTGATAAGCAACTTCAGCAAAAGTCTCAGGATACAAAATCAAATTGCAAAAATCACAAGCATTCCTATACACCAATAATAGACAAGCAGAGAGCCAAATCATGATTGAATCTTCATTCACAATTACTAAAAAGAGAATAAAATACCTAGGAATACAACTTACAAGGGAAATGAAGGACCTCTTCAAGAAGAACTACAAACCACTGTTCAAGGAAATAAGAGAGGACACTAACAAATGGTAAAATATTCCATCCTCGTGGATCGGAAGAATCAATATCATGAAAATGGCCATATTGCCAAAGTAATTTATAGATTCAATGCTATTCCCATCAAACTACCATTGATATTGTTCACAGAATTAGAAAAAACTACTTTAAAATTTATATGGAACCAAAACAGAGCCCACATAGCCAAGACAATCCTAAGCAAAAAAGAACAAAGCTGGAGGCATTATGCTACCTGACTTCAAACTATACCACAAGGCTACAGTAACCAAAACAGCATGGTAACCAAAACTGATGCCAAAACAGACATATAGACCAATGGAACAGAATAGAGATCTCAGAAATAAGACCACGTATCTACAACCATCTGATCTTCAACAAACCTGACAAAAACAAGCAACAGGGAAATTATTTCCTATTTAATAAATGGTGCTGGGAAAACTGGCTAGCCATATGCAGAAAACTGAAACTGGACCCCTTCCTTACATCTTATACAGAAATTAACTCAAGATGGATTAAAGATTTAAATGTAAAACCAAAAACCATAAAAACCCTAGAAGAAAGCCTAGGCAATTACATTTAGGACATAGGCATGGGCAAAGATTTTACTATGAAATTGCCAAAATCAATGGCAACAAAAGCCAAAATTGATGAATGGGATCTAATTAAACTAAAAAGCTTCTGCAGAGCAAAAGAAATTATCATCAGGGTGAACAGGAAACCTACAGAATGAGAGAAAACTTTTATAATTGTATTAGTCATGGTTCACCAGAGGATCAGAACTAATGGAATAGTTATATATATAAAGGGGAGTTTGTTAAGTACTATTTCACACAATCATAAGGTCCTACAATATGCCATCTGCAGGCTAAGGAGCAAGGAGAGCCAGTCTGAATTCCAAAACTGAAGAACTTGGAGCCCAGTGTTCGAGGTCAGGAAGCATCCAGCATGGGAGAAAGATGTAGGCTGGGAGGCTAGGCCAGTCTCTCTTTTCACATTTTTCTGCCTGTTTATATTCTAGCCACGCTGGCAGCTGATTAGATTGTGCCTACCCAGATTAAGGGTGGGTCTGCCTTTCCCAGCCCACTGACTCAAATGTTAATCTCCTTTGGCAACACCCTCACAGACACACCCAGGATCAATACTTTTTATCTTTCAATTCAATCAGTTGACAGTATTAACCATCACAGCAATCTACTTATCTGACAAAGTTCTAATATCCAGAATTTACAAGGAACTTAAGAAAAATTTACAAGAAAAAAACAAACAACCACATCAAAAAGTGGGCAAAGGATATGAACAGACACTTCTCAAAAGAAGAAATTTATGTGGCCGACAAACATATGAAAAAAAAAAAACTCAACATCTCTCATGATCAGAACAATGCAAATCAAAGCCACAGTGAGATACCATCTCATGCCAGTGAGAAGGTCAATTATTAAAAAGTCAAGAAACAACAGATGCTGGCGAAGCTGTGGAGAAATAGGAATGCTTTTACATTGTTGATGGGAATGTAAATTAGTTCAGCCGTTGTGGAAGACAATGTGGCGATTCCTCGAGGATCTAGAACCAGAAATACCATTTGACCCAGTAATCCCATTACTGGATATATGCCCAAAGGAATATAAGTTATCCTGCTATAAAGATACATGCACATGTATGTTTATTGCAGCACTATTCACAATAGTAAAGACATGGAACCAACCCAAATGCCCATCAGTGATGCATTGGATAAAGAAAATGTGGTACATATGCACCATTGAATACTATACAGCCATAAAAAGGAATGAGATCATGTCCTTTCCAGGAACCTGGATGAAGCTGGAAGCCATCATCCTCAGCAAACTAACCCAGGAAAAGAAAACCAAACACTGCACGTTCTTACTTATAAGTGGGAGCTGAACAAAAAGAACACATGGAGAAAGGAAGGGGACCAACACACACTGGGACCTATCGGCAGGGGGTTTGGGGTGGGCGGTGGGGACATGGGAAAAGAAAGCATCAGGACAGATAGCTAATGCCTGCAGGGCTTAAACCTTAGGTGATGGGTGGATAGGAGCAGCAAACCATCATGGCACACATACACCTAGGTAACAAACCTGCACGTTCTGCACATGTATCCCAGAACTTAACAAAAGAAGAAATGGAATACACCAGCTAATCAATTCAAGAAAACTGTCTGTTGTACGTGAGAAAAAAAGAGAATAAAAAACAAATCTGTGCTCGACCACACGTCTATCATACTGTTACTCTTTTTCGACTACATATTCTTCAATCACTTCTTCATATGACAATTTTGTAATATTTTCCATAAAGAAAATAGAAAAATAAATGTTTTCTTAGTGTAATGGATACTTTTATTAGTGGTAGATTAGAAACATATCTTTCAGTTATATAATTTATTCATAATGTTATGTTATTTTTAGGATTGTTATCAAATACATGAAAACCTCTATCAAATTTCTTTTATATGTAAGTTTAAAAATTTGAAAGAATTTTCATCAGATCCATTTGTGTTTTGATATCTCTCAAATTTGCATCTTCTCTGCCACCCACATAGTGCCAGTACCACAAGACATTTTCACATGCTAGTTCAACCTCTGTTAGTCTGCCATTTTTGTGTCATGACTTTTAGTGATTGAACAGATCACATGGCAAGAGTGTTCATGGAAACATTTTTTATGCCAGGATGTTTTGCAGTAACATAACTATTCATGGATGGAACAGTTAATCACATAAGTGTGTCCCACTAAAAGCAAAGTAAATTATCTTAGCTTGCCTCAGCCATTTAGAGTAGCAGGAGTAGATATTAGGAAGGATAAAAGTTCTCTTGTGTGAGTATGTCTCAGGTGAGGTCTTTGCAGTACTGGTAAACATGATTCTGACAGCAAGAATGAGGGTGCTTCTCAATTGGGCTCTTAGGATTCTGGGCAATCTGAGATTTCAAGACTCTCCAGCTTGTCCATCTAAATGTCTCCATGTCAGGACCAAGAGTCTTGTTCTTTGCCTTGCAAGAGATGTCTTTTATATAGGTGACTTTTGAGATCATGTGCTGATTCTTCTTTGCAGCTTCTCCACCCTTTTAATTAAATCACAGGCATGCAGACTTTTTGGCACAATCTGCCCCCACAGTGGTAGGAGACAAGGGTTTTCCTTACCATAGAAGGCCTCTGGTTTTAAGGTATATCTTGAGTTAAAAATTGACTAAATTGAGTTTATTTTCATTTTTCAAGGCTTCCAAACTAGAAAATAAAAATAAGCAACTCCATAATTTTAGAATTACTGTCAGCTCCATTTCATCCAAGTGCCACAGCTCCAGTGCAATTCCTTGCTTCTCCTTCCACCAGGATCTCAGTTCAGCCCAAATCCAGTGAGATTCTTTGTCATTGTGATGCTACTGTGGGCTAGGAATGATGTCTATCTACCTCAGTCATCATCAGCAATTTGTCCTTATTACCATTTCCAAAATCTATCCTGATAGCTTTCTGAAGTTGCTCTTGGTATCTCTATTTTAATCTGGGTTTCCCTGAAAGCAGAGCTTGATACAAAGGATTGTTTGCAGATATTTTAACTGAAAAGTAATCACAGAAGGCAAGAGTGAGAGAAAGGGAGAGTAAAAAAGAAAATAACAGCCAATTGCATTGAATACCACTGCAAGTGACTAGTGCTAATGCCAATTAGACCCCTTGGGGAGTATAATGAAATGAGTCCCTGAACTGTCCTCTTTAGAGGAGAAAGGGCAACACACTCTATGGATTCCATCTTCCATTGGTCAAGGATGACTTTTGGGTATTAACACTTCATTGCACATGCCTGAGTGTTAGATGAATTCCCACAGGTATCCCTCATCACTCTGTTGAAGAAGCCCTGGGGCAGAAAGCAATAAGTAGGTACGTTGTGTAGGCCCAAGAGAAGTTTTGTCAGGTTACACTTGCGCAAGGTTCATCCAAGCAGGTGCAGAACTGGTTAGGGAAGCAATGGCTGGAGCAAAAAGGAAGATTGAGAGGGTTTGAAGAATATGCAAACCCCATTTTATTTTGTAAGATAAAATACTTATCCTAGAGTTAAAAGAATTAACAATTTTCAAACATTAAAAGGCATGTAGTATGCAAGTACATTTATATTTAAATATATGTTATATTTAAAAATACCTTTTATCTGTAAAGAGCAGTATTACAGAAATAAGATATTCTTGCCTATCTCTCTGATATACTTCTGAATTATTGCTTCTAGTCACAGGTGAGGAAAGTCGAGGCCTTCACTGAGTGGGTCTACCTGACTCAGTATATTCTAAAATAAATAAGAAACAAGCAACATGTTTCAAGGAAAAAAATGGAATCTAGCTGGCTGTTCCCATGTCTATATTTCTAAAGGTCTTCTTATGGCAGCATTCTCTTGTAAAATTCCAGTTCTCTAAACCATGCTAGATTGAAATATTCATACAATAACTCTAAGCACTTCTCTTTGTGTGTCTTTTCTAAATCTTCTATATTTAAAATAAAAGAAAATATAATCATCTTCACTGAGTTAGATTTTTCTTAGACCTAAATGGACAATAAGTTCCTAGTTGGAGAATGTGATTTCCTGCCCTGGACTTCCTTCTCAGCTGTTATAATCATTTGTAAAACAGATTAAGAAACGCCTTTGACATTCTCCTGTGGCTTTGAAATTGCTATGTAGCTATTCACCCTCTGCACAGAAATTGAATGAATGAATTGCTAGCATTTGAGAAAAGAAATCCTCATACGGGAAAATAAAAAAAAAAACGCAGCAACTGGAAAATAGTTGAAAAGAACTGCAGACTGTAATCTAGTTAGTAAATAATAATGCAAACCGCGGTGCAATGTAACTGAAAAAGAGAACAAATAGTTTGGCCTGATGAGATTTCATAAAATTTTTGGCATTGAACAGCTGGGAAAATTTCCTTGCCTATTCACATGAGCCTAAAACATTTCTTATTAAGAAAAGGGTAGAGAAAATGGAAACTTTCTGCAAAGAGTTCTAATGGATTTATTTGTTACACATTTTTTTGCTTTGCCCGTTGTAAAAGCACAATTTTAGGACACCAGGGTATTGGGTACATTACTTAATTTACCTTAGTACGTTTTTATGTGCAAAGTAGGAAACTGAGCAGTTCTTAAAAACCATACGTATTTCTCTCCACCTATTTAACAATTAATGTAAGTTGATACATTTGTTCTTTTTAAAAAAAAATCTTAATTGCACAAGTAATACATGTTAATTTGAAAAATTGAGGAAAACAGATGAGAAAAACGTAGTTTGCCTGTAACCTTAACACCTAAAGAGAACAATTCAACATTTTTATAATCTCCAAATGAAGAAATGCACACACACACACACACACACACACACATACGCAAAATCCCAAAATAGATCATATTGTAGCTACCATTCTATATATTACTTATTTGCTTCCAAAATCCTTTAGTATCAGTAAATGCTATACCTTTTATATATATTTGTATATGTGTATACAGTATATATTGTCATGTATTCATATGCATGCATATGTACATGTGCCTATATACTCTGTGTTTGAATTTATAAGTAAAAAACCAGGGATCTGCACTAACATTTCCGAGAAAATAATGACCTTGCTGGGTTTTTTTTTTTTTTTTTGGCTCTTTTGTTTTGTTTTGTTTTGTTCCTTTGAGACAGTCTTGCTCTGTTGCCCAGGCTTAAGTACAGTGGCACAATCAAAGCTCACATTAGCCTCAACCTCTTTAGCTCAAGTGATCCTCCCACCTCAGCCTCCTGAGTAGCTGGAAGTACAGCTGCATGACACTACACTTGGCTAATTTTTTTTTTCTTTTCTGTAGAGACTGGGTCTTGCTATGTTGCCCAGGGTGGTTTCAAACTCCTGGACTCAAGTGATCTTCTCACCTTGGCCTCCCAAATTGCTGGGATTACAGGCATGAGCCACCACACCCGGCCTTGTGACCTCGCTTTTGAAGTAAAAATGTTTCAGACTCATTTCCAAGCTTCACTATAGGGCACTATTGACTCTTTCTGAACAACGACTCTGAGCAAAGTAGCACGTGTCAGTCCTGAGCAAAGGCAATGAAAAGACTATATATGATTCTTCAGTCTCTTCTCAAGCCACAATAACTGAGGAGGCTGCATGTTCACAGATCAGCTATGAGCAGATGCAGCTTCTGTCACCCCAGGTCCCTTATCTATGGACAACATCCATGTTTACCTGCGGAGATGTATTCTGTGGGGGAAAAATGGACTTTGTTTTGCTAAGCTCCTGACATTCAAATATTGCTTCATACTGCAGCACAAACTAATATATCTTCATAAATACAACAACCATCCTTAAACAATATCTTTTCTACATTTTAATTTTAATATACTCTTGACAGACTGCATATTATCATCTTTTTTTTTTTCAAGAGAGCCTCATGGTTATTTTATTCCCTGACCTCAGCCATCCTTGGGAATGTCTTTCTGTGGCCTTTATAAATTTAACTGAGTACAAAGTTACTGGGTCATGGTTTCTCTCATAATTTTTAGACATTGATATCTGTCTTCTGTTAGAAAGTGTAGCTGTGGAGAAGTCTGAGGACAACCTACATTTCTTCCATGTGTGATATGGTTTGAATGTTTGTCCCCTACAAAACTCATGTAGAAATGTAATTGCCATTGCAACAGTATTTAGAGGTGGAACCTTTAGGAGGTGATTAGGCCATGAGGGCTCTGCTTGGATTATGCCATTATTGTGGGAGTGGGTCCATTATCATGAAACTGGGTTCACCTCCTCTTGCTCTCTCCTTGCTCTTCTGTCGTGTGATGCCTTCTGCCATATGATGATGTGGCAAGAAGGCCCATGCAAGATGCCAGCACCTGATCTTGGACTTCCCAGCCCCCCGAACTGTAAGAAAATAAATGTGTTTTCATTATAAATTGCCTCATTTCAGGTATTCTGTAATAGCAGTACTAAACAGATTAAGACAGAAATGAATGCTAGAGAAGTGGGATATGACTATAACATATACATAAAAATGTGGAAGCAGCTTTGGAACTGGGTAAAGCATAGAAGCTGGAAGAATTTGGAGGAGTAGTACATTGATATCTGTCTTCTAGTAGGAAGCGTGGCTGTGGAGAAGTCTCAGGGCAGCCTCAAAAGCCTAGATTGCCATTAATGGAGCTTTAAGTGATTCTGGTCAGGGCTCAGGAGAAGGGGAAAGGTATAGGGAAAGTCTGAAACTTCCCTGAAACACTCCCTATGGCCAAGTGACAGCTTGATAAACAGATTAGTATAGCTAGAAGATAGCCAGGTGCCATTCATAAAGACAAGAGGAGAAAGATCCCAAAGGCATTTCAGATACATTTGATGCTGCCTTCCCATCACATGGCCAGAATGCTAGGACATTGAGGACAGAAAGGTTTCCAGAGGGGGGCTAAGGGTGTCTGTGGGACCTCAGCATTCTCTGCCCTGTGATGTCCCAAGTCTCTGTTCCTTGTGTTCTGAAACAGCAACCGTTGGCCTTCCCAGCTGTGGCTCAAGCAAGTCCAAATGCAGCTCTGGCCTCTGTTCCAGGAGGTGCAAGCCGTAAACCTTGGCAGTGTCCATGTGGCACTAAATCTGCAGGCACAGGGTGTGTGAAAGCTATGGTGGCATGTTTGCCGCCGCTTAGATTTTAAAAGATGCTACAGAGAACTGCCAGTGGGGTGCAGCTGCTGCAGAGAGTATCCACTAGGGCCTAGTAGGGCTGTAGGAGTGGGGTGACTACTGAGATCCTAGAACTGTAGCAACATCAGCATCCAATGCCAGTCTGGGAGAGTTGCAGGCAAGAGAGACTCCAACCTGTGAGAGTTGCTGCATGGGCTAAGCCCAGAAAAGCCACAGGGGTGGAGCTACCTGAGGACATAGGGGCCCAACCCTTGCCCCAGTGTGCCCAGGCAGGAGTCATAGGAGATTATTCTCAACCATTAGAATTTAGTGTCGTTCAACCTATTGGGGTAAGGACTTATGTGGGACCAGTTATCCCTTTCTTCTTTCCTGTTTCTCCTTTATGAAATGGATGTATCTATCCTATGCTTATCTCACCATTGTATTTTGGAAGGAGATAACTTGTTTTGATTTCACAGGCTCACACCTGGAGGGGAATTTGCCTTTGGATGAATCATGCCTTAAGTTTCATTCACATCTAATGTAGATGAGACTCTGGATTTGGCACATTTGGGTTGATGTTATCATGAGTTAAGACTTTTAGAGCTATTGGGATGGAATGAATGTATTTTGTATGTGAAAAGGAGATGAGTTTTGGGAGGCTAAAGGAGAATGTTATGATCTTTATGTCTGTCCTCTCCAAAACTCATGTTGAAATTTAATTGCTAATGTGACAGTATAGGGAAGCGGGACTGTGAAGAGGTGATTAGTCCATAAAGTCTCCGGCCTCTGGGTGGGATTGATGCCACTATAAAAGGGTGAGTTTTGTCCCCTTTGCTCTCTTCGGCTTTTTTTTTTTTTTCCTCCCACATGTAATGATACGGGAAGAAACTCTTCTCAGATGCTGATTCCTTGATCTTGGACCTCCCAGCATCCAGAACTATGAGAAAATAAATTTCTGTTCATATAAATTATCCAGTCTCAGGCATTCTGTTATGGTAGCCCACTAGTCTGTTTTGTGCTATTTTCTTTATGTGCTTGGGTTCTTATACAAAATCAAAAATTAAAAAAAAAAAAAAACCCTTTAAGCTCAGTAATTTCAATGCTCTGAGTTATTTTTATTTTTTATTTTTTATTTTTTTTGTATTATACTTTAAGTTTTAGGGTACATGTGCACATTGTGCAGGTTAGTTGCATATGTATACATGTGCCATGCTGGTGCGCTGCACCCACTAACGTGTCATCTAGCATTAGGTATATCTCCCAATGCTATCCCTCCCCCCTCCCCCGACCCCACCACAGTCCCCAGAGTGTGATATTCCCCTTCCTGTGTCCATGTGATCTCATTGTTCAATTCCCACCTATGAGTGAGAATATGCGGTGTTTGGTTTTTTGTTCTTGCGATAGTTTACTGAGAATGATGGTTTCCAATTTCATCCATGTCCCTACAAAGGACATGAACTCATCATTTTTTATGGCTGCATAGTATTCCATGGTGTATATGTGCCACATTTTCTTAATCAAGTCTATCATTGTTGGACATTTGGGTTGGTTCCAAGTCTTTGCTATTGTGAATAATGCCGCAATAAACATACGTGTGCATGTGTCTTTATAGCAGCATGATTTATAGTCATTTGGGTATATACCCAGTAATGGGATGGCTGGGTCAAATGGTATTTCTAGTTCTAGATCCCTGAGGAATCGCCACACTGACTTCCACAATGGTTGAACTAGTTTACAGTCCCACCAACAGTGTAAAAGTGTTCCTATTTCTCCACATCCTCTCCAGCACCTGTTGTTTCCTGACTTTTTAATGATTGCCATTCTAACTGGTGTGAGATGATATCTCATAGTGGTTTTGATTTGCATTTCTCTGATGGCCAGTGAAGATGAGCATTTTTTCATGTGTTTTTTGGCTGCATAAATGTCTTCTTTTGAGAAGTGTCTGTTCATGTCCTTCGCCCACTTTTTGATGGGGTTGTTTGTTTTTTTCTTGTAAATTTGTTTGAGTTCATTGTAGATTCTGGATATTAGCCCTTTGTCAGATGAGTAGGTTGCGAAAATTTTCTCCCATGTTGTAGGTTGCCTGTTCACTCTGATGGTAGTTTCTTTTGCTGTGCAGAAGCTCTTTAGTTTAATTAGATCCCATTTGTCAATTTTGGCTTTTGTTGCCATTGCTTTTGGTGTTTTGGACATGAAGTCCTTGCCCACGCCTATGTCCTGAATGGTAATGCCTAGGTTTTCTTCTAGGGTTTTTATGGTTTTAGGTCTAACGTTTAAATCTTTAATCCATCTTGAATTGATTTTTGTATAAGGTGTAAGGAAGGGATCCAGTTTCAGCTTTCTACATATGGCTAGCCAGTTTTCCCAGCACCATTTATTAAATAGGGAATCCTTTCCCCATTGCTTGTTTTTCTCAGGTTCGTCAAAGATCAGATAGTTGTAGATATGCGGCATTATTTCTGAGGGCTCTGTTCTGTTCCATTGATCTATATCTCTGTTTTGGTACCAGTACCATGCTGTTTTGGTTATTGTAGCCTTGTAGTATAGTTTGAAGTCAGGTAGTGTGATGCCTCCAGCTTTGTTCTTTTGGCTTAGGATTGACTTGGCGATGCGGGCTCTTTTTTGGTTCCATATGAACTTTAAAGTAGTTTTTTCCAATTCTGTGAAGAAAGTCATTGGTAGCTTGATGGGGATGGCATTGAATCTGTAAATTACCTTGGGCAGTGTGGCCATTTTCACGATATTGATTCTTCCTACCCATGAGCATGGAATGTTCTTCCATTTGTTTGTATCCTCTTTTATTTCCTTGAGCAGTGGTTTGTAGTTCTCCTTGAAGAGGTCCTTCACATACCTTGTAAGTTGGATTCCTAGGTATTTTATTCTCTTTGAAGCAATTGTGAATGGGAGTTCACTCATGATTTGGCTCTCTGTTTGTCTGTTGTTGGTGTATAAGAATGCTTGTGATTTTTGTACATTGATTTTGTATCCTGAGACTTTGCTGAAGTTGCTTATCAGCTTAAGGAGATTTTGGGCTGAGACAATGGGGTTTTCTAGATAAACAATCATGTCGTCTGCAAACAGGGACAATTTGACTTCCTCTTTTCCTAATTGAATACCCTTTATTTCCTTCTCCTGCCTGATTGCCCTGGCCAGAACTTCCAACGCTATGTTGAATAGGAGTGGTGAGAGAGGGCATCCCTGTCTTGTGCCAGTTTTCAAAGGGAATGCTTCCAGTTTTTGCCCATTCAGTATGATATTGGCTGTGGGTTTGTCATAGATAGCTCTTATTATTTTGAAATACGTCCCATCAATACCTAATTTATTGAGAGTTTTTAGCATGAAGGGTTGTTGAATTTTGTCAAAGGCTTTTTCTGCATCTATTGAGATAATCATGTGGTTTTTGTCTTTGGCTCTGTTTATATGCTGGATTACATTTATTGATTTGCGTATATTGAACCAGCCTTGCATCCCAGGGATGAAGCCCACTTGATCATGGTGGATAAGCTTTTTGATGTGCTGCTGGATTCGGTTTGCCAGTATTTTATTGAGGATTTTTGCATCAATGTTCATCAAGGATATTGGTCTAAAATTCTCTTTTTTGGTTGTGTCTCTGCCCGGCTTTGGTATCAGAATGATGCTGGCCTCATAAAATAAGTTAGGGAGGATTCCCTCTTTTTCTATTGATTGGAATAGTTTCAGAAGGAATGGTACCAGTTCCTCCTTGTACCTCTGGTAGAATTCGGCTGTGAATCCATCTGGTCCTGGACTCTTTTTGGTTGGTAAACTATTGATTATTGCCACAATTTCAGAGCCTGTTATTGGTCTATTCAGAGATTCAACTTCTTCCTGGTTTAGTCTTGGGAGAGTGTATGTGTTGAGGAATTTATCCATTTCTTCTAGATTTTCTAGTTTATTTGCGTAGAGGTGTTTGTAGTATTCTCTGATGGTAGTTTGTATTTCTGTGGGATCGGTGGTGATATCCCCTTTATCATTTTTTATTGCGTCTATTTGATTCTTCTCTCTTTTTTTCTTTATTAGTCTTGCTAGTGGTCTATCAATTTTGTTGATCCTTTCAAAAAACCAGCTCCTGGATTCATTGATTTTTTGAAGGGTTTTTTGTGTCTCTATTTCCTTCAGTTCTGCTCTGATTTTTGTTATTTCTTGCCTTCTGCTAGCTTTTGAATGTGTTTGCTCTTGCTTTTCTAGTTCTTTTAATTGTATGTTAGGGTGTCAATTTTGGATCTTTCCTGCTTTCTCTTGTAGGCATTTAGTGCTATAAATTTCCCTCTACACACTGCTTTGAATGTGTCCCAGAGATTCTGGTATGTGGTGTCTTTGTTCTCGTTGGTTTCAAAGAACATCTTTATTTCTGCCTTCATTTCGTTATGTACCCAGTAGTCATTCAGGAGCAGGTTGTTCAGTTTCCATGTAGTTGAGCGGCTTTGAGTGAGATTCTTAATCCTGAGTTCTAGTTTGATTGCACTGTGGTCTGAGAGATAGTTTGTTATAATTTCTGTTCTTTTACATTTGCTGAGGAGAGCTTTACTTCCAAGTATGTGGTCAATTTTGGAATAGGTGTGGTGTGGTGCTGAAAAAAACGTATATTCTGTTGATTTGGGGTGGAGAGTTCTGTAGATGTCTATTAGGTCCGCTTGGTGCAGAGCTGAGTTCAATTCCTGGGTATCCTTGTTGACTTTCTGTCTCATGGATCTGTCTAATGTTGACAGTGGGGTGTTAAAGTCTCCCATTATTAATGTGTGGGAGTCTAAGTCTCTTTGTAGGTCACTCAGGACTTGCTTTATGAATCTGGGTGCTCCTGTATTGGGTGCATAAATATTTAGGATAGTTAGCTCCTCTTGTTGAATTGATCCCTTTACCATTATGTAATGGCCTTCTTTGTCTCTTTTGATCTTTGTTGGTTTAAAGTCTGTTTTATCAGAGACTAGGATTGCAACCCCTGCCTTTTTTTGTTTTCCATTTGCTTGGTAGATCTTCCTCCATCCTTTTATTTTGAGCCTATGTGTGTCTCTGCACGTGAGATGGGTTTCCTGAATACAGCACACTGATGGGTCTTGACTTTTTATCCAACTTGCCAGTCTGTGTCTTTTAATTGCAGAATTTAGTCCATTTATATTTAAAGTTAATATTGTTATGTGTGAATTTGATCCTGTCATTATGATGTTAGCTGGTGATTTTGCTCATTAGTTGATGCAGTTTCTTCCTAGTCTCGATGGTCTTTACATTTTGGCATGATTTTGCAGCGGCTGGTACCGGTTGTTCCTTTCCATGTTTAGTGCTTCCTTCAGGAGCTCTTTTAGGGCAGGCCTGGTGGTGACAAAATCTCTCAGCATTTGCTTGTCTATAAAGTATTTTATTTCTCCTTCACTTATGAAGCTTAGTTTGGCTGGATATGAAATTCTGGGTTGAAAATTCTTTTCTTTAAGAATGTTGAATATTGGCCCCCACTCTCTTCTGGCTTGTAGGGTTTCTGCCGAGAGATCCGCTGTTAGTCTGATGGGCTTTCCTTTGAGGGTAACCCGACCTTTCTCTCTGGCTGCCCTTAACATTTTTTCCTTCATTTCAACTTTGGTGAATCTGACAATTATGTGTCTTGGAGTTGCTCTTCTCGAGGAGTATCTTTGTGGCGTTCTCTGTATTTCCTGAATCTGAACGTTGGCCTGCCTTGCTAGATTGGGGAAGTTCTCCTGGATAATATCTTGCAGAGGGTTTTCCAACTTGGTTCCATTCTCCCCATCACTTTCAGGTACACCAATCAGACGTAGATTTGGTCTTTCCCATAGTCCCATATTTCTTGGAGGCTTTGCTCATTTCTTTTTATTCTTTTTTCTCTAAACTTCCCTTCTCGCTTCATTTCATTCATTTCATCTTCCATTGCTGATACCCTTTCTTCCAGTTGATCGCATCAGCTCCTGAGGCTTCTGCATTCTTCACGTATTTCTCCAGCCTTGGTTTTCAGCTCCATCAGCTCCTTTAAGCACTTCTCTGTCTTGGTTATTCTAGTTATACATTCTTCTAAATTTTTTTCAAAGTTTTCAACTTCTTTGCCTTTGGTTTGAATGTCCTCCCGTAGCTCAGAGTAATCTGATCGTCTGAAGCCTTCTTCTCTCAGCTCGTCAAAATCATTCTCCATCCAGCTTTGTTCCGTTGCTGGTGAGGAACTGCGTTCCTTTGGAGGAGGAGAGGCGCTCTGCTTTTTAGAGTTTCCAGTTTTTCTGTTCTGTTTTTTCCTCATCTTTGTGGTTTTATCTACTTTTGGTCTTTGATGATGGTGATGTACAGATGGGTTTTCGGTGTAGATGTCCTTTCTGGTTGTTAGTTTTCCTTCTAACAGACAGGACCCTCAGCTGCAGGTCTGTTGGAATACCCTGCCGTGTGAGGTGTCAGTGTGCCCCTGCTGGGGGGTGCCTCCCAGTTAGGCTGCTCGGGGGTCAGGGGTCAGGGACTCACTTGAGGAGGCAGTCTGCTGGTTCTCAGATCTCCAGCTGCGTACTGGGAGAACCACTGCTCTCTTCAAAGCTGTCAGACAGGGACACTTAAGTCTGCAGAGGTTACTGCTGTCTTTTTGTTTGTCTGTGCCCTGCCCCCAGAGGTGGAGCCTACAGAGGCAGGCAGGCCTCCTTGAGCTGTGGTGGGCTCCACCCAGTTCGAGCTTCCCTGCTGCTTTGTTTACCTAAGCAAGCCTGGGCAATGGCGGGCGCCCCTCCCCCAGCCTCGTTGCCGCCTTGCAGTTTGATCTCAGACTGCTGTGCTAGCAATCAGCGAGATTCCGTGGGCGTAGGACCCTCTGAGCCAGGTGTGGGATATAGTCTCGTGGTGCACCGTTTTTTAAGCCGGTCTGAAAAGCGCAATATTCGGGTGGGAGTGACCCGATTTTCCAGGTGCCGTCTGTCACCCCTTTCTTTGACTCGGAAAGGGAACTCCCTGACCCCTTGCGCTTCCCAGGTGAGGCAATGCCTCGCCCTGCTTCGGCTCGCGCACGGTGCACGCACACACTGGCCTGCGCCCACTGTCTGGCACTCCCTAGTGAGATGAACCCGGTACCTCAGATGGAAATGCAGAAATCTCCCATCTTCTGCGTCGCTCACGCTGGGAGCTGTAGACCGGAGCTGTTCCTATTCCGCCATCTTGGCTCCTCCCCTCTCTGAGTTATTTTTAAATGGAAGTCTTGACCCTTAAAATTTCAAAACTCTTCTCTGTCTTTATTTCAAGAAGGTATTTTTTTATACCACAACTTGGATTATTTGTTTCTCTCTGTTTGTTTTTATTGTCATTTTAATATTTACTTTGTCCCTTGTAAATATCTACCATCTTCACAATATCACTTTTGTTTGATTTATCTTTAACCTATTCACCATGTCCAAGGCATTTTCAGTCAGGTTTATTGTATTTTTATTATTTCAAATATGTCTTTAAAATCTGTACTATTTTAATTTTTTCATTTTGTATGCTTCCATTGTATTCTTCCATTTCTTTTCTAAGTTCTCCCAGTTCAGTTTTCTGTTTTTCTCTTTTGTACAGTCTCTTCCTAGACATTGTCATGTGATCTTTAAGCTCTTTTTAAAAAAGGAATCATGTGTGTTTAGTTTGTTTGAGAATAGTGGAAACCGTTTCGTTGCACACTTCGTTTTCTTTGGGAAATTCTTATATTCTTCTTGTAATGTGTGTTCGCATTGCCTTTTATTTAAGTTCTTTCCTTTCTTCTTTTTTTAAAAAATTGATTCATTTTCTGTGCTTTCTTTAAACAAAGGAGGTATGATTTAGCAACAAAGATGGTTTATAAATAAGACTTCTTCCGCAGCTACTACTCATCTCTTGCTATCATACAGAATGAACTGGGTTTTGACTGAGATATCATCTTGTTATTCAATGGTTCATTCTTGGTTGAAAATTTTGTCATTCTATTCTATGCTTTTGTTTACTGTAACTTCTTTCACAAAAGCATGTAGACTTACCAAACATATATTACTTCTTTGTGTTCTTACCAATTTTTGTTTCTATATGATCACTGATGCACAGATATTGTATGATTTAAGATTTAAGGCTGGGACATTTTCTTGTTTCATTGAAGATCAAATTCTTGTTTTTATTTTTTTTATTTCTTTTCTATTTGTTTTTAGGTTAGGAAGAAGAGTTGTGGAAGAGACTGCTACTTATTCACTTATCCATTTCTTCTTTTTTCTGGGATAGCAGTTAGATAATATATTTCATATTCATTTGCATTTAGGTGTAACTGAGTTGTCTTCATCTATTTGGGTTGCTGTAACAAAAATACCTTGAACTAGGTAGCTTATGAACAACAGAAACTTATTTCCCACAGTTCTGGAGGCTAGAAAGTCCAAGATTAAGGAACTAGCAGATCTCCTATCTGATGAGGGTCCACGTCCTCACGTATGGCACCTTCTTGCTGTGTCCTCACACAGTGAAAGGGGTGACAGTTCTGTCTAGAGTCTCTTTTGTAAGAATATTATTCCCACCCATGAGGGCTTTGCCCTCAAGACCAGTTTACCTCCCCAAAGCTCTACCTCCTAACACCATTATCTTGGGAGTTGGGATTTCAACATGTAAATTTGGGGGGAAGATACAAGTATTCAGTTCATAGCATGACTTACAGACAGTAAGATATAAAAGAAAGTGAGGGTTACCACTGCCAGGCCTGGCCTAGAAAACTCTCCCACATTATCAGCTTCCATGTTGTTTTCTATTCTGTAGCAGTGCAGGAAGCTGTGTTTTGAAGATAATGAAGTCAAGAGACAGAAGGACACTTGGTCCCTGTATCAATATTTGTAGAGAAGCTGTCAACCAATCAGGAATATCCATTTTCTTTCTGTGACTTTTCAGTACCATTTTGCCCTCCAGTGCAACAATTTTTATTTGTATTTTTTTCATGCATACCATTGGTGTTGATTGGGAAAGAGAACCAATCAATTTTATTTCATTTTCATAAACTCTATGACTGTAAAACCTTGTTTTGAATTTAATTTTATCCCCACAGTATTGGAAATGTAATTTAGAAAATTATTTTTATTTCTCAAAACTAATTTCAGCAAAGGAAAAGAGGCCAGATTTTGCTTTGCCAAATGAGTTTCCCAAAGGCATGTGTAGTAAACTAAACAGTGGCTCCAAAGATATTCAGTCCTAATTTCTGGAACCTATCATTGTTACCTTGCAAAAAGTATCTTTGCAGATGTAATTAGAGTTAAGGACCTTGAGATTGGGAGATTGTTTTGAATTATTTGGCTGGGCCCTAAATGCTATCACATATGTCCTTATAAGAGAGAGAGACAGGGGAAGATTAGACATACAGAAGAGGAGGAGGCAATGTGACCATGAAGACAGAGATTAGAATGATGTAGCCACAAACAGAAGATTACCAGAAACCATCAGAAGCTGGAAGAGGCAAGGAACAGGTGTTACCTTAGGGCCTCCAGAGGGAGGGAGCCCTGAGCTGCTGACATCTTGATTTTGGCCTAGTGAAACAGATTTAAGAATTCTGACCTCCAGAACTGTAAGAGAATAAATGACTGTTGTTTTAAGCCACCAAGTTTTATGGTAATATATTACAGAAGCCATAAAACTAATACAACACGCTTTCATTTAAAACGAGAAAATCACAAACTTTTGTAATTAATAATAAATTTGCTTGCATAGAAATATTCAAGGAAATTTTGTTGAGGTATTAAACTAAAAAAGAAAATTATGATCTATGTTTCCATTGGGAAGATGAGGTACGAATCTTCTTTGAAAGACATGAGCAAATTAATTTGTTTCAAGGGTTTAAAAAGCATCATCACCGTCTGTGATCTGACTTCAATGCAACACAACTATCTACTCTACTGTGTACCTAATTCATGGATGAGTCAAGACATGGGAATTAATTCTGTTTACAATGTTAATTATTATGTCCATTACGTATTCCATTTTCAACTTTTTAGCACAAACCTATGTCAATAAATTTACCTATATCATTTTTAAATTGAAGCTCCCTATTCCTGCCAAATGTACCAACTTGAATATAAGTTTTCTTACAGTTCCGAGATCAACTTCAACAATTTCAGAAATATTCTTTATATATAAACATTAATTTTGCTGGGACAACATTACACCTTTTCAAAATTTTTAACACAAAGAATGCATTTTCTAGAATTTTGCCTATCATAGACTAATGTCCAAATGTATTGTTCATACTAATTTTTTTTTTTATCAAGGTTATAGATGTGGCTAACTCAGTGATATTTTTTATCTGTTTTCAATAGTTGCAATAGAAAACACCCCAAATTATTCATGTTTTTTTCTTTAATTTTTCTAAACTGTAGATTAAAAATTCTAATCAGCAGAATTGTAATTATATTTATAAATGTAAGTGCTTGTTTCTTGTTTGGAAAACATATCTCTCTGTATTCAATACATTTTTAAAAATAAACATAATATTGTAGGAAACTTTTAATTTGGGGTTAATTTTATCACCCAAAACATTTTAGAAATAAACCTTCTAGCATATTAAAATGTGAATATTAATTTTTAGCTAAATGTTTTTTAGCTTATTGAATTTTTCATTTGCTTTTTTTCTGTATTTTCTACCTGGTCTCCTTATGATTTGTTTTATAAAGATGTCTGAACCCATGATCTTTAGGCACAGATAGTTTTTGCTTGCATAGGATCCATGAAGGACCATTCTTCACATCCACAGAAGAAAACATCCATTATAATATATTTCTTAAGTAAGCAGCTCCTCACTCTGTCTTTCATCCCTCTCCCCTATCTTTTGATGGAAATTTGGGTCCAAAATAAGATAAAAATATTTTATTTTCTATTTAGCACTAGCTTAAGAAAAAACTCACAAGTATAATAATAAAATACAACTGAAACATAGTGTCAAGGAGTGGGGAGTCAGTGACAAATTGGAGAGAAAATGTTCTAGCTAAAGAGGGGAGCCTCAGCCAATGGTTACAGGTGGGATCTGAGATATAGTGTTGTCAGAGCTCTTACTTCCTAAAAAGCTAGCATATGAGATTTCTAAGAAATCTGTTTTCACATGTTGGCAACTGAATGAAAACACCCATAATCAGGGGTGGGGGAGGAAATTGATGAGAGAAGCAGGGAAAAATATATAAAATAGGAGTAGATAAACAGGCCAAAAAATCGTAAAAAAAAAAAAATAACGTGACTTCAAAGTTTAAGTAATTATTTGGATAAGGTAAAGGACACTACTGTGATAATAGAAAATCTGAACACTGACCAGAAATTGTTCTGAAAATTTTTCCAGGAATGTAGAATACAAAGACAGGTGCAGGATGTGATTATAGAAAAGATGATGGATTTGGAGGATAGAGATGATAGGAGTCTGCCTTTGGTTTCTGGGTCTTGATCACAGTTTCTAATATTGAAACAAGTGCAGCAAAAAAGATAACTGAAAAGAAATGATAATCAAAGGCCCACTGATACAGGTATTGCCGGAATGGATCAACCATATCCCAGGCAGAGTTGATAGAAATATATTTACATCTAGATGAAAGCATAAACTACATCAAAGAAAAAAGTTCTAGAGGCAACCAGATGAGAGAGGAAGGAAGAGAAGAAAGAGGAAGGGGAATGAGGAGAGAAAACATGCTATAATGGTGATAAAATAAGGTAACCCATATTTATCTTCTAAAAAACTAAGCACAGAAACAAATTTAAGATAAAAATGTGCAAATTTTAAAAATATGCTACAAATCTATTATACTTAAACAAATGTGTGCATTCAGATGACAGAAAAAAATGTTTATCTGTGCAAGGATACAGAAATTCTACTCTGAATTTTACTTGGGAAAAAACTTATGGAAGACATATTTTTGATGTGATGAATTACAAATAATGTCATTAATAGTTTTTAAATAGTAACTATTTTACTTATTTAAAATGTCTTCTCAGTTGGGCATGGTGGCTCATGCCTATAATCTCAGCAATTTGGTGGGAGGCCAAGGCAGGAGGATCATGAGGTCAGGAGTTCGAGACCAGCCTGGCCAACATAGTGAAACCCCATCTCTACTAAAAATACAAAAATTAGCAGGTCATGGTGGTGTGCGCCTGTAGTCCCAGCTATTCAGGAGGCTGAGGCAGGAGAGTCACTTGAACCTGGGAGGCAGAGCTTGTGATGAGCCGAGAGTGTGCCACTGCACTACAGCCTGGAAAACAGAGCGAGACTCCGCCTCAAAAAAAAAAAAAAAAAAGTCTTCTCATGCACTCCAAAAAGTAAGACTATAAATAAAATTAGTAGTTTTATTAAATGATTGCTTTGTGCCAAATCTATATTTGCACTTCAACTAGAGAATCTTTAATGTTTACAATCCTGATAATCAAGGTTAGCATCTCGATTTAATACAAACATCAAGAATGAAAAAGTCATAGCATAAAACAGTTGGCAACCGGCATTTATACCAGCTAAAAACTGAGATGATAAAATCATTGTAATTTAAATCCGAAAAGATTACTAATGCTAAAAATTGCTGCTCAAGGAGAGGATGTGGAATATAACAAGGAATAGTGGTTTAAAACAAAGTCCATATTATATTAAAACTACTGGGAGCTTATACTGTAAGAAGAATAATGATATGTTAAATTTATCACCTTATAGTTTTCCTTCATTTAATAGGAAAATCCTTATTTAAAAATTAATTAAAATAATTAAAATTAATTAAAATTAATTAAAAGTATAATATATAATGTTCAAATTGCTGAATCACTAGCAAATAAAATGATCCATATGGCAAAAGACAAAACAAAATGACAATAAAATATAAACAAATAAATATAAACAAAATTAGGAAAACCAGGCAAAAGTAAAACTAAGTATATCACATGTTAATAAATATAGAAAGCTTATACTCCTCCATAAAAGCGAAAGATTATGTAATATCTTTAAAAATATTTAATCTATACCTGAGATATACCTAAAAAATAATATAAAGCAAATAGGAAAAGATTTATTTGACAAATATTGTAAGTATAGTCACAGTATTAAGTTAAAGGTTTAATATTACATATAAATAATATTTTTAAATACCCCATAAAGTCATAAACTTTTATGCAAAACATGTCAGAGCATCTAAATACATGAGGTAAAAACTGGAACTATAAGAAAAATTGATAGCAGTGTAATTTTATAAAAAATGTAATGCTTTTTATGCCTGGGAAGACTTATCATAGTGGTTTACATTCTTCTAGAAGTAAAGCAATGAGGGAGAAGGTATTTAGAAACAACCCAGAAAAAGAAGGAGAGTTTTCTGAAGATTGAAAACTAATTGTGGAAGAAGTTAATGGGCAAATTAATCATATGCATATATTGACAAAAGGTCTTGGTAAAAGATAAGAAGAGATTCTAAATTACTGGGGATCATTCAATAAGGAAATGGTAAGCTCTGATGGCTATTATCTCAACTCATATAACTAACAGTGGAGGCTGCAGAGCAGAAGGAGGGAGGCTGATAGATCTCAGAACTCTAATCAGTAAATAACTAAGAAACCAAGACGAAAGCTTGAGAAGACTAAGTATATCACTGAGAGTAAGCTCCTAGTGGAGTAGGAGCATTGGCATAGCTCAGGAACTGTGGCCTGGATTCCAGCCGGGGATGGCAAGAGAAGAGTATTCTAATTACATTCATTTCTTTACCCAGGCTAGGCCCGTGCTACTGCCTTGAAATCCAAAGTCCTAGATTATTCTCCATCTATTTGATACTGGACAAGAAAGCAATAGCAAAAAATGAGGATAAGAGAGAACACAAGGAAGTGCCATATGTGAGCTTAAATTGGGAGCCTTATGCAAGGAGTTCTGATTGCCTAGCTGGCCTCTCAACAGCCCAACCCATTGGCTGTTACAAGCAGCCACCCCATAAGAGCAGGACTGAAGTCCTGGGAAGAGTTCTGGTGACGACTGGTTGGGGGGTGCGGGGGAACTGAGAGTGGAGGTAGATGGATGAAAAGGGAATGGCAGAAGTCTGATTGCAAAATTATAGGTCTTGAGGTGCACACCTGTTATGCACATGTGGACATTTTTAGGAGCACAAAGCAAAACCTAAACTTTTGCTCTTTTTCTTTTCCTTCTCCAAAGCAATATTACCACTCAACACACTTATGAAGCCAGAACACAGCAGGGGAAAAAGCCACACTACAAATAAACAACTTATACTGGAAAACTATCAGAATGCACAGAACAGATATTCAAAATAGCATATTATTCTCAGAGAAATAGGAGGAGATATTGGAAACATGATGAAATAGCAAGCAATTATAGAGAGGATCCAGTTGGAGGTATTAGGATGAAATCTATTGTCATTGAAATGGAGAACGCAATGGATGGGTACAATAGAAGAATGTAAACCACTGAAAAATGATTTAAACTATAGGCTCAAGTTGAAGAACTCTCAGAATGAATCAACAAGGGATAAAAATAATGAAAAGCAGGAAACAAATGTTAAAGACACACATATATATTATGTATATATGTTTACACACATATATATGTTTATATATGTGTATTTTATATACCTATATAAAACACATATGTATATGTTTATTTAAAGTATGTATGTTTAAAAACATACCGATTACAGAGTGAGAGACAGAAAGAGTGAGAAATTAGAGGTAGTAGGATCAGCATTATTTAATATAAGTCATGAAAAGAAGGAGGGAAGAGTTGAAAAAATAACCAGAATTTCCTAGAATTAAAGAAAGATATATCAGACTTCTGGCTGAAGAAATGCATACAGTGCCAAACATGATAAATAAGGAAAACATTATATAAAATTAAAAACGTTAAAACTTCAGCTAAGCACATTGTCCTGTGACTTGAAAACATAAAAGAGAATATTCTAGAATTTTCTGAAGAGAAAAAGGCAATCACCTAAAAATGAACAAGAGTATGACTGTTAGACTTTTCAACAGCAACACTGGATACATAAAGACAGTGGAGTAATGTCTCCAATAAACCCATTACAATTATTTAAAAGTTCTTTAATCTCACTTGAAACAAAGTAAAAAAACTGTTATTATTATTTTGAGACAGGGTCTGGCTCTGTCACCCAGGCTAGAGTGCAGTGGTTGGATCTCAGCTCACTGCAACCTCTGCCTCGGGGCTCAAGTGATCCTCCCATCTCAGCCTCCCAAGTAGCTGGTATTACAGGTGCACGCCACCACAGCCAGCTAAGTTTTGTATTTTTTGTAGAGACAGGGTTTTGCCATGTTGCCCAGGCTGGTCTCAAGCTCCTGATCTCAAGAAGTCCTCCCGCCTTGGCCTCCCAAAGTGCTGGGATTACAGGCATGATCCACTGCGCCCAGTGAAAATATAGTATTTAAATTACTTTTTTATTTCATTTTATTTCTTCAGTACTCTAGCCATCTCATTATTTTCTCCTCTTGGGAACTATTCCAATAGCCTCCTGATTCTCTTTGCATCCACTATATCATGAGCCATTAATATATTTCCCACATAGTAGCTTAAATGTTATTCTCAACCCCCAAATCTGAACTTGTTACGTTTTAATAAAAACACATTGATCTTAGGAAAATAACTAGAATCCTAACATGGCTGAGGGCCCTGCCTGCCCTAGTCAAGCATCTCTGAACACTGGATGGACCTTGGAATCTCCGGGGCACTTTATACTAGTGCCCGAGTCCTGCCCTAGAGATCCTCCTTGAATGGGTCTGGGTGGCCCACACTACCCAGGTGACTTCCAAGGCAACCCTGTTGCAGAAGTCCTGGTCTTGTCCCTGTGGCCCTTTAGCTCACGTCTTCCCCGTTTTCCTTCACTCTCAGTGCTCCTGCCCAGATGTCCTGTGCCTCCAACCTGTCAGGCTCCTTCTCATTCCAGGACTTTGCACAGGATTTTCCTCCATCCTGGAACACTCCCCAAACACTTTCACTAGGGTCATCCTGCTCTGCCTTCAGAGTTAGCTCACTCTTCACTTTCTCAAGGAAGCCCTGACCCACCTTCCTAAGTCTCTCCCACATGTCAACTTAGGGCAACAGATGTATCTTCTTAATAGGACTTACGATATTTGTGACAGTTTAATTATTGGTATGATTCTCTCATAAGACTCTTTCTGCTATATATTGTGTATATTGTGTGCTCCATGGGATTAAGGAATATTTTGGTTTTCTTACTCAGTATTGCATAGTTTCCAACTAATGCAGTGTTGCCTAATTTGCTGAATAAATGAATAATTGACACCTACAGACCTAAAACCAGCAAACATCTTAAAGTCACATATGCCTTAGTTACAATTCATATATACGTTTATTATACATATACATGATTGTAAAGGTGTGGTAAAGCTAGTGGTTAGATGAACTAATGAATGATATGAGGCTATATTCTGAGTAGCACAAATATTTCAACACTATTGAAAAATTGTAAAATTATTTTTCCATGTTTGTTTAAAAAATACATATAAACCCTCCTTTCTTTTTTCCAGAGAGCAGTCATGATTACAAACCTAGTGATCTGTGAACTCAAAATCTAGAAACATATCTATTATGAAAAATGCTTTCATCTTATTGAGACCCTTCTTGTTTTATCCTACTGTGATTTTCCTAGAATTGCTTTGAAATAAAATGTCATTTCAAGATTATTTATAAAGGAGAGTAAAAATGCTAATACCTTTGTAAAAGACGAATTAAATGAACAGCTTATTCATGAAGTGCTTTCAAGGATGATAAATAAGAAATAATGCAAGTTATCAAAATGAATCATTAACTTCTCCAAATCCAGGGGATTAAAATTGAACAAAAATTCACAATTCAATCATCATCTCACTTTGAAAATTAAAGGTAATTGACAGCCTATTGAAATTGCATCTGTCTGAGATTGCAAGTGTTGTTAATGACAGGGAAAGCAGAAGGGTAATGAGTAGAGGATCAACTTGAGCAACCAATAGAAAAATATTTAATGAAGCACATTTTATCAAAGAAAACTGGGGAGCATGGAGCCATAGTGTTGTGTGAAACCTAAACCCTGGAATATCTAGGGTTTAGATGAATCTTCTAGGTATGAAAAAAGTGTTTCAGAAATTTTCATCTTATATGAAACTAGAGATTTGTTTGCAAAGGCAGAATACTTGTGCTATAAAGAGCTAAAAGTCATGGAGCCAAAAAATGCATAGTAATCTATAAATGCATTTACCCATATGGAAAACTGTGATGTGCTGATTTTCTTTGATTATTTTTAATGAAAAAGAATTACTGAATATATTCATTACTACACCATCTGCTTTTCACTTACATATTTTCCAATTATTAATGAACATACATAATTTTAACACAAATGGGACTGTACCAAATATTTTTATAAAGTCTTTTCTTTTTTCACCTGTATCTCTTTCCATCTTGTCCTCCTCCTCCTGTCCACCGAAGATTACCATGCATGATTGTGCAAATTGCGAATTGCAAACATCAGATCACATTGAGATCTATGCATTAGTTATCTATTGCTGCATAAGATTATTTCCACAAACTTGGAGGCCCAAATACAAATTAATTATCTCACAGTTCCTGTGGATCAGGAGCCTGGGCATGGCTTTGCTGAGTCCTCTGCTTTAGGGTCTCACAAGCCTGCAATCAAGGTGGAACACCCAGGGCTGTAGTATCATCTGGAGCTTGAATGGGGAATTAGCCACTTCCCTGCTTTCATGGTTGCTGGCAGCATTATGTTCCTTGTGACTGTAGAACTGAGAGCTTTTAGTTTCTGTTGGTCACAGGCCATTCCCAGCTCTCAGAGGTCACCTGCAGTTCCTTGCCATGTGAGGTTCCCCAACATGGCTGCTTTCCTCCTCACAATCAGTAAGGGTGAGAGAAATGGCAGAGAAACGGACACTTCAACCTTAGGTAACATAGTTACATATATTTCATCACCTTTGCTGTTTTCTACTGATCAGAAGCAAATCACAGGTTCTACCCACATGTAAGAGGAAGGAATAGCAATCGTTAAAATGCAGGGACCATGATGGCCACCTAAAAATCTGTCCACCACAGGATATGAAGTGAAGGCCTTGGAATTACACTTATCTAAATTTCATTAAATTCTCATTTTTTTTTAATTCAAGTTACGTGCTGGTTTCAGCGGCTTATTCTGAGAGTTCTGGTTTTTTGTTGTTGTTTTATTGTTGTTTGTGTGGCGCTTTGGCTACTTGGGTGAGTTGTTACTCTTTTTCTTTTTTTTTTTTTTGAGACGGAGTCTTGCTCTGTCGCCCTGGCTGGAGTACAGTGGCGCCATCTCAGCCCACTGCAAGCTCCGCCTCCTGGGTTCACGCCATTCTCCTGCCTCAGCCTCCTGAGTAGCTGGGACTACAGGTGCCCACCACCACGCCTGGCTAATTTTTTGTATTTTTAGTAGAGACGGGGTTTCACTGTGTTAGCCAGGATGGTCTCGATCTCCTGACCTCGTGATCCACCCGCCTCGGCCTTCCAAAGTGCTGGGATTACAGGTGTGAGCCACTGCGCCCAGCCAAGTTATTATTATTCTTTTTCTAATAACTGGGGCTCAGGTTGTCAGGTTGGGTCTCTGAGTTATCTTAAATGTTGACATTATACTGGTTTTTCCTTCTAGGGATGGGTGTATAGCGTTAGCCAGTATAATAATCCCTTGTTTAGACAACAAGTGGCAGTCTCTGTCACCCTTGTCTTTGGTTTGTTTATTTGTTTGCAGGTTTGAAAATTGAGAGGGCTTGGCCTCTTGTTCAGTGTTTGCTCTACGGTTTCCAGTCCTACCTGTTACAGTCGTATAGATTGATGGCCTTCTCTCTGAGGAGCCGTTAGAAGCTTGCCATGTGCTGTGCTTATTATGGACTTTCTGACACTGGATGTCAGGTCCCCATTGAATCCAGAGCTGAGACAGTCCTTCATGAGCTCTCTCCAAGGAGCTGCTAAAAAAGTCCAGGTCTTTGCTCCTGGACTTCAATCTCCATCAGCCTGCTGGCTCCAACAACTGCTTGGCTGAGAAGAGTAAATTATTTACAGTTGGGAAATGATAGGTTTTTCATTTTTCATTTTCACCTTCACAGAATGCCCTCTACTCAGTTTTCAGCCTTTTGACTCATCTCTTACCTTCATCAGCTCTACTGCCCCTGAGTCCTAAGACTATCCTGCTTAACATCATAAATGACCTACAGCTTTCTGCCTGGCATTCTGGGTTATGGGGCTAAGGGATGTTTGAGAAGTGTTTCCAATACAGACATCCAAATCATCCAATTTTCCACAGCATTTCTCACCCCATGTTCCCATACCTTTTGCTTCCATCACCTCTCCTGATTCCATATGGACAACTGACTCTCATATCATTTCTTTCCCCTCTGCACACCCTTTAAACTTTGGCTTCCTGTGTCTTGTTTAATCAACTATAATTTCTCCATCACCTTTCAGTTTTTTCAAAGATCTATTGAAACTTCCACACCACTGATGTCTTCTCGCACCTTCTCTTTGCATTTGTAGAGTTATATCATTTGCGTTCCTCAATATTTTATCATGTCCTTGCATTTAATTCTCTTTAACTGGAAATCTCACTTATTTAAAAGAAATTATGTTTAAGACCTCAGATTTTCATGTAGAGATGTGAATGCTATTCTTCAGTTTGTTGCAATGTTGAACCAATCCTTGGCTCTAAATTTATTCTAGTAAGTAAATAAAATCAAGGAGGAAAGCTGCATGAAATGGTTTGCTAAAAATTGGAAGAACATATATAATATGAAGAATGAACATATAGAACATGAAAAAAAATCCCATGAGGAAAAACTAATACTTTAATCTTAAAAGAGTGAACATGGAATTTTGCTCAAATAAAGTTTGCATACCTTCATAATGATAATAAATTGTTAATGGAAGTTATTTTACTATACTAAATTTTCAGAACCTTACAGAGGTTCACATGGGGAAGACAACCATTATCACATTTGTGATGAAAATGAATTCCCCTATCCCAAACACTTAAAAGAGTTCTAGGTAAATTTGAAAGTTGTCAGCCTATTTGAATCTAGAAGAGTTTAAAAATCTAGGCAACATAAGTTCTATTTAAGTGATGGGATGGGGAAAGGGGGCAATATTTCCTTATAGAGGTTGTGTTGCAAGTCATGAAAGTGAGTTGGATTAGGTGTCAGAGTTGTAAAAAAAAAAATTGTGTGTGTGTGTGAGAGAGAGAGAGAAAGAGAAAGAGAGATGGGGATGGGACAAAGAATAAAGAAATGCTTCTTAAGGATCTTGAGGTCCTCTTATGGCTCTTTCAAATATAAATTTTAAGAGTACACAGAATTAGGTTAACGAGAGTGAGAAGGATTGGATAATTAGCAAATTAGAAAAAGGCATCAATATAAAAATCAGAAGAGAATGAGATGGATCTGGTCTAAGATGGTGACAAGCTCTTATTCTAAATATAAGATAAGAAGAAGATGAGGATGTTAACCAAGGACCAAGCTGTCAAGATGTGTGTGGTAGGCAGTGCACTGCTATCAGCCATGTGAGGAAGGATAGTGGAAGAGTTTCAAAGTGGATAAGGCAAGAAGCAAAGAGGGATTTAGGGATCCTGGGGCAGACAAGAAGAAAAACAAAGTTTCCCTTTTCAAGGAAGCTGGAAGCTGAGGGTGAGATATACTAGATTAGGGAGAAATAGCCTGGGGGAGGGGAACAAAGGATAGTACAGACTGGGAGCTATCAGAATAAACCAATTACTGCTTGAAATCTATGCCATCTTAATTGCATCAAGTGAGATTGTTACTCTTCTCAGCTGATAGGTGTCCCCATGAGCCCTGGTTTCTGTACCTTTGCAGGTGCTATCTGTGCTGTACTGCCCAGGGCACAGTGGGAGGCCAGTTGTTACTGGAGCACAGTATACGAACAAAACAACCTCTGCCCAGTGTTCCTGATGGCATGAGTCTCTGTGTGCTGGTGCAGAGAAATCATCATCTAAGCAACAAAGAGTTGGGATCCTTTCTATGCATTTATTTTTCTTTTAGTTTCTAATTTTATTTTAGATTCAGGGGTGCATATGCAGGTTTGTTAGCTGGTATATTGTGTGATGCTGAGGTTTGGGGCGTGATTCATCCTGTCACCCAGGCACTGAGCATAGTTTTTCAATCCTTGCCTCCCTCTCTCCATGCCCCTTCTTGCAGTCCCGGTGTCTGTGGTTGCCATTTTTATGTCCATGAGTACCCATCGTTTAGCTCGCATTTAAAAGTTAGAACATGCAGTATCTGGTTTTCTGTTCCTGTGTTAATTCACTTAGGATAATGACTTCCAACTGTATCCATATTAGAGCATTTCTTAAAAGTGATTTTATTTTGTCCAAAAGCTTCTTTTACCAAAGTTATGATGTGATAGCCTCAAGAAAATATTAATACATAGAAAAAGATCTCTTAGAGCACTTATGTAATGTGCCATTGAAATTAAGACTTAATTTTTTAATTTTATTTTGAATGGACAGGTAATGATTGTACATATTTATGGGGTATATAGTGGTTTTTGATACATATAGTGTATAGTGATCAGATCAGGGTAAATGGTACATCCAACATCTCAAAGTTTTGTCATTTCTTTGTGCTGGACAAATTCAATATTCTCCTTCCAGCTATTTGGAACTATATATTATTGTTAATATTGTCATCCTACAGTGGTATGGAACACTAGAACTTATTCCTCCTACCTAGCTGTAATTTGGTATCCTTTAACAAATCTCTCCCTATCTTTCCTTTCCCTCTACCCTTCCCAGCCTCTAGTATCCTTTGTTCTACTTTTTGATTCTATGAAATCAACATTTTTTGGCTTCCATATATGAGTGAGAACTTGCAGTGCTTAATTTTCTGTTCCTGGCTTAATTCACTTAATGTAATGTCCTATCTGCACCCACATGTTTACTGTAGCACTATTCACAATAGCCAAGATATGGAAGAAAGCAAAGTGTCCAACAACAAATAAATCGATAGAGAAAATGTGATATATATAATCACATATATATATATGCATATATATATAATCACATATATGCATATATAATCACATATATATGCATATATATAATCACATATATATATGCATATATATAATCACATATATATGCATATATATATATATATGCACAGTGGAATACTATTCAGCCATAAAGAAGAATGATATCCTGTCATTCCTGTTATTCATGGCAACATGATGGAACTGAAGGAAATTAAGACTTTAAAACAAATTTTATTCTGTTTATAAGACTCATAGATTTTAAAATTTTAAAAACATGTAAATAATATAGTTCAACGTTACTTGTGAACAGAGGAATATAATTCTTAAAATAGAACAAAGAGATGGTCAGTCTTCATGCCATAATGTACTTTTAATTATAACAGCTAAGATACTATGGACATGTGGGAAATATTACAATATGTTGTGATTGAATATATATGCTCAGCTGTCCATATTTGATTAGATGATGCCTTTGCTTTGGTATATTCTCAATCACTGAATCGTATACTGTTAGGGAGCATTTTCTCCCAGTCTTAGTCATAATTCCTGATTAAATTGGGAGAGATCTAACAGTCACATATTGGTGGAGTAGCTTGGTTTTCTTTAATACACGTTTCATGTTGTATCCTTTGTGTATGTTTTAGCAATTTTTAAAATATATATTAAAAATTCATTTAAAAATAAAATGTCCTGGCAGATGTAAAATAAGCAAACAGAATCAATGGAAGTAAATCTTCCTCTTTTCTATCTACATTAAGGAGACATTGACCTACCCAAAAGGCCCAGTAGACACAAGGGCCAATCTGAAAGAGCCTTCAAAGGCCAAAACTGGAACAATTTTTGTAAAAAAATTAAAAATAATATTATAAACCAAAGAATAAAATAAATATCTATAAATCCACACTGATTTAAATTATTAAATACATTGACAAATAAATAATTGAGGGATAAGAGATAGCCCTTCCTTACCAAACATTTCTAATTAATACATAAAAAGGAACAAGTGACATAGAAAAGCATCCTTAGCATGCCATAGTAATAATTTCTGAAAAAAAAAATCCACCAATAAATGGTAAAATTGGTGGGTAAAAGTTTTGGAAGAGCAAGATATTTGCATATTCTCAAAACATTCCCTCCTAAATACTTATTAATTTCAAAGAGAAATACAGTCACTTAGCAATGGAAAAAACTGTCCGACAAGCCCTTATTCAAGTAATCAAGGTTAACATCACCAATAAGAAGATACACTGGCAACATGCACTCCTCTAATATGATGAAGTGGGAAGGCCACATGACTTTTGAGTATTTTTCTTTAAAGTGCAAAACTCAAACTAATCTTGAGAAAATATCATGAAAACAACATTAAGAGGCATTCTACTAAAATATGTGGCCAGTACTGTTCGAAAGGTCAAGGTCATGAAAGACAAAGAAAGATGAGAATTGTCATAGATTGGAGGAGGCCAAGGAGACATGACAAAGAAATGCTATGTGGGATCCCGGAACAGAAATAAAACAGCCATTAGTGGAAAAGCTTGTAAAACACACATAAAGTCTATAGTTTATTTCACAGTATTGTGCTAGTGTTAATTTCTTAGCTTTGATAATTCTACTATGGTTATGTAAGATGTTAACATTCAAGGAAGCTGGATAAAAGGTATACAGGACATCTCCATAATCTTTGCAACTCTATTATAGATCTAATACTATTACAAAATTAAAAGCTAGCAAAGTATTCACAAACTTTATAGCAAAAGGTTTTTGTATAGTCTGTAAGGGATCTTGCCATTAGTATCTTTTAAAAGTTCTCATTCAGATGTGATCCAATACATGCCCTGATTATCAAGAGAAACTACTGAAATGTCAATTCACTAGAATGTAAGCTCTGTGAAAGCAGGACCTTTTTTCTTCTATTTTATTGATTGTTAATGCCCCAAATGCCTAGAAGAGTACTTTGGACTTAATAAATACACATCTAATAGATGAATTTAAAAAATGAGTGAAATCCAAGACACTGGCATGGAATGGAAGGTTCTGGGTCCACTCAGCCTTTCAGTGCCTAAGCAGCTGAGCCAGGTTGATTGATGGGCAAGCCTCCAAATCACCACAGGAATGACCAAAGGGGTGAGGAGCTGAGAGGGCAAGAGTTACACGATGCCAGCACCAAGCAGAGGATCTCCAGCTGCTGTGACACTCCTCTCACTCTGAAAAGAGGTGATGTGACACACCCTAGTCTGGCAGCTGGCAGTAATGATGGCTACACACAGCTTGTTGGCTGGGTAGCAGATGGGGAAATTTGCTTGGCAAAGTACTTTTTAGACGAGTTATTCTGTAATTGATGCATTTTGCTGGGCTTTTACAGTGTAGCAGAAGTGATCTCAGGTTCTGTAAATGTAAATTTTAAAGTCTACCAGGGTTTAGGGATTTATTCCAGTGAGTTTACCAAAATTTCCAACTATAGTACCTGCCATCAATGTCAACTGCCAATAATGAGAAATAGCCACTCTATATTTTTTAATAACACATCTCAACTGAAGAATTGTGCCAGTCATGGCAAATCATATCACACTCAGACACATACATGCATATTACATAGGAAATATTGTGTTCAATAACTCAAAGGCTAGGTTATCTAATAAATAAGAGTAACAATAATATTTTCTTTTGTGGGCAAAAATGTAGGATCCTCCCCCAAAGAGAAAGGACTTAGAGGGGAGCAACCCTTGTGCCTTGACATTCCCTACATCTTGCCTTTTGCAACATTACTATTTCTCTCCTTATCAAAAAGTATACTGAGATCAAGTTAATTAGTTATATCACAAATAGTTATATAATCCCCTTTCTTTGAAGCAAAAACAACTATTTTTTAAACCTGAATAGCTTTCTGCCTGTATCAGACGAGAGTAATGTAAACAAGCCATTTTCAAAACGACTGAAAAGCTGCTGATGCCATGACTTGCTTTTGCACATTATAAAGGAAACAGATTTTTCTTTTCTGTGCTTCTATATGGAGTTGTCAAACAAAATGGTACAATGACTATGAAATAAATATTCCAATAAATTAAACAAAACTGGTGTCTCACATGCAGGCTTTGAAGGTGAATGCTATGTTGAATGGGAAAAAAAATCCAAACTACACTGCGGACATAAAATCTAAAGTATATTTAGAAAGTAAACATTCATGAATAAAAACTAAGTAATCTTTTCTTACACTTAGATCAAAAACCTGCATTAAACAAAATAGTATTAAAAAACATATGCTATTTATTGGCTCTCATTCCTCCTGGAAAAGATTGGTGCAGCCTCAAACCTGATTTCAAATTTACGTGTCTTTGTTTGTTTGTTTGTTTTTTGCCCAAAAGCTACTGGATGGAGGAAATAGTGACAATAATTTTTAAAAATAGTGTTTTTGTTTTTGTTTTTGTTTTTGTTTTGAGATGGAGTTTCGCTCTTGTTGCCCAGGCTGGAGTGCAATGGCGCCATCTTGGCTCACTGCAACCTCTGCCTCCCAGGTTCAAGCAATTCTCCTGCCTCAGCCTCCTGAGTAGCTAGGATTACAGGCGTGTGCCACCATGCCCAGCTAATTTTTGTATTTTTAGTAGAGACGGGATTTCACCATGTTGGCCAGGCTCGTCTCGAACTCCTGACCTCAGGTGATCCACCCGTCTTGGCCTCCCAAAATGCTGGGATTACAGGCATGAGCCGCCGCACATGGCCTGCAGATTTTTTATTATTGGAATTTTCAAATCATTGTTAAAAACTGAGTATAAAAATAAAAAACCCATTGCCAAGTTGAAAATAATTATAGCAATTAACATATTGAGTTTCTGATATGTGCCCAGTACTGTACTAAACATCTTATGTGGACGATTTTATTTAATCTTCATATGAATGCTAAGAGGCAGACTCTAAGAGTATCTACATTTTAGAGGTAAGGAAATTGAGGTTAAGTAAATGTTCCAGGTCAAACAACTAGGATGTAGCAGGGCTTGGATTTGAACTGGTCAGTCTAATTTCAGAATGCTCTCTTAAACCACTGCAGTTTGTTTCCTCCCATGGGATTACAAATTTCCTAGTGAAACCTAAGACTTAAAACTCCCTTAACAGAAAAACTCATCTGAGGAGCAGAGCTGAGCAAAGCAAAACCGAGCAGAGCTCAGTACTTGCCTGCTTCCTCACACCACAGGACTGTGGGCTTTTTTTCTTTTCTGGGAATGGTGTCTAATTTAATGAACTCTTTTATATGTAAATAGAGACCGGAATTATTATTCTCATTTTTAGAAATCCATGAAGTAGGTGAAATTGAACCACCTGTTTTCCACTGAGGACAGTAACTTGGAGACACTGTGACATTCAGGCAATGTGGGCTAGGGGTAGGGAAAGCTAGTGTCTTTCTAAGACTGCATTCATTGATCATAAGCATGAGACCAGAGAAAAGATTAAGCTTCTCGTAGAAGTGCAAGTTCTATTTTCCACTCATTCTCGTAAGTGAAGAATAGAACTTGCACTTCTATTTTTCCTGGTCTTGATTCCTTGGAGCATCTCTGTGTTTACCTGGTTACATTTCAGCCAAGATTTATTTTAGCCCTTCTCTTTTGGAGCTTCTGAGGCAGTTTCATATATATGCCTAGCAGAAACTTCCTAGCTATCTGAAGAGGAAATTCATAGAGATGGCCATATTCTGGTCATTTGGGAAGCCTGGCACGCAGAGGGCAGAAACCCTGTCAAAGTGGGGTGCTAAGCCCACCTAGAGTAAGTGGGTTTCCCACTGGTTACATACAAAAGGATGGCCTGTGAAGATTACAGTAACTTGAAATACACTACCATGTTAAGCATAATATAATTATTGTGTTGTTTTTAATTATTTAGGGCATTGTTCTGTAACATGTAATCCTGTATGCAAGCTCATGTTCTTTTACAATGTATAGTGCTACACATGTACACACATACACATACAGGCTCATAGCAATATGTTTACTAAAGCCTTTGTAGAAACAAATAATTTATTACTGACATCTTTTATCAACTAGATATTGGAAACAGGTTGTATAAATTGGCCATCAGATATACTAGATATTTCCCTCTTCTAGATAAGAGATTATCAAGATATTTATCCTTTTTAAAAGAACATGATTAATAGAATCAGTGCTGGTATGTTTAGTGTTATGAAATGCAAATGGAAGCTATAATTTATCCAGAAGGAAACAGTCTGTAAATAGTGCTTTTTTATCTGAGTTGACTTTTTTGGGGTGCTAGAATCCTGACTCTGCTAATCAGGGAGACTTCACCCTGATCGCACTGGAAGGGATCTAAGCAAGACCTCTAAGAAATTTTTGACATAAAAATCTTCATGACGATGATCAAGTGTTTTTTGAGAGTGACTCACCCAAGTTTTGCACTGAGAGCAGTTTATATTTTCCATGCACTACACAGAGACACACAGGTACCTCAGACAGACTAATACCCTGGTACAACTTCAAGTAGATATTGTAAAATATTTGTTCAATATTTTATTTAGTATGAAGGAAGATTAGAGAAAGGAAACCACTGGTGATACCTTCTCTGTGATCCCTGCAATTTGTCTCTAGCCCTAAATACACATGCCTCATTTGCAAAACTAGAAAAGAGCATTTTTATAGCATTTATTGTTACTCAGGTATGCTCATGGGGTGACTCATCTATACACAAAAACTCCATTGGGCTTATTTAAGAATTTCTGCCATTAGGTGGAACACAGTGGCTCACATCTGTAATCCCAGCACTTTGGGAGAGCCAGGAGGGTGGATCACTTGAGTCCAGGGGTTCGAGACCAGCCTGGGGAACATGGCTAGACCTCATCTCTACAAAAAAATTTTAAAAATTAGCCAGGAGTGGTGGCATGTAGTTGTAGTCCCAGCTACTTGGGAAGCTGAAGTAGGAGGATTGCCTGAGCCTGAAAGTTCTAGGTTGCAGTGAGCCATGGCTGTATTACTGCACTCCAGTCTGGGGGACAGAACAAGACTCTGTCTCAGAAAAAAAAAACAAAACAAAACCAAAACCAAAAAAAATAATAATAATAAAAACCCACAAAAAACAATAACAAAAAAACTGCGACTAGATAATCTTTCTAGAGTTGATTACAGTTTCAGAAATCTCCCTCATATACAAATGCCTGATCTCCCTCCCCAGTGAGACCAGACTAGCTCTTTATTATTCATTAACTTAGTCACAATCACCATGACTAAAAATCTTATTCAATACATTGGAATGAATCTTTGCTTGCTCCTTGGTGGGTGAGGGATGGATTTTGTATGAAAACCTCCGTACCCCATGTTACCTTGTTTCCCTTGCTGCTGATCCTCTCCTGTGAGTCCTATACTGTCTGTAGTTTTTCATTTTGTGATAGGTCTTTGTTTTCACGTTTTAGGTCCCTGGTGATAATATTTATACAATCCTTAATCTTTGCCCCTGCCTGTGCTCAAAACTCACTGTGAGTGCTCTCTTTTTGAAGGCTTCATTTCTTTCCATCATTCTTATATAAAATTTGGACTTCCTGATTTTTTCCTGTTGATTTTTGAGGAAGTTTTTGTTATTTTATTTGACCCTGCAGATCTACCAGCTTTTAAACAGGTTATTTGTTTTCTTGCTATTCAGTTGTATAAATTCCTTGTATATTTTGGATATTAACCCCATCAAATATGTAAATTTTGGTTCTTACTACAAGTGACATTCTCTCTTTCCTCTGCGTAGTTGATGAAATGGATATTTTGAATCCCTTTCTTTTCTTTCTTGAGGTCAAACTGAAAAAGATTTCTCCCATTGTTCTGTGCCACGATGTTTCCTATGTGTCGTTAATAAGCATCATTATGCCCTGCTAGCTAGTTAAGAGCACCATGATATTACCATGTAATTACATTATACCAAGTATTGTTTTTTCTATACATAACCACATACGTCTTAAGAGACTTTCCTCAGCTAAATTTCTGTGAACACAGTGACAAAAGCCTTCAACTGAGAAGAAGATCCAGTATTTTTATCTTATTTTGAATGTGTAATAACAACAGATATTCCTGAAACAGAGAAATCATTATTTTTTTAATTTACTAGTATCAGATTTTCTTTACTATATTCCATGCTCTTGTAAATTTTCTTGGCTATTAGAGAAGTACATTGGTAACTAATCTTTATGGAAAGCATTTAAACAAAAGTGATTGATTCCCTAAGCAGTAAAAATATAACTCTGTGTTAGAGTTCTGCAGACCATCTCTTCCAAAGTTTAGGAAAGTTGGATTTGACCAAGCTTTAGCTCACAGCCCCTACTGGAGAGTTCTGATGGTTTGCAGATCCCAGCTGAATCCTGGGAAGGGGCTTTTGGTCACTTAAGCTCATTCCTGAAACTTCTCTTCCTTTTGCAGAAGAGCTCAGCAAAGCAGTAGGTCATGTAAACTAATATGTTCTGAAGACTTCAATGCTACTAGGCAGGGAACTGTTACAGAATGAGAAGGAAAAGAAGAAAGCAAAAGGACTCATTTACTGAGTTCTATGTGTTAGAATAAAGTCTTTAATAAATACAGAAAATTTCTCCTCAATTAGTACTATTTTCATTAAAATAAATTGGTTTAAGCCAAACTGATATAATCTTTCCTCCCCCTACTTTATTAAGGTAAAACTGACAAAGGTTGAACATACCTATGGCGTACAACATGATGTTTTGATATACATATACATTGTGAAATGATCCCCACAATCAAGTTAATTAATATATCCATCACTTCACAGTTACCTTTTGTGTGTGTGGTGAAAATGCTTAAAATATGTGCTCTTAGGAAAGTTCAAGTATACAATATATTATCAGCTATAGTCACTATGCCATATGATAGGTCTCCAGATCCTATCCCTATTATAACTGAAAGTTTGTAGCATTCAACCAGCAACTATTTCCCCTAGCCTGTTTACCCTAGCAACCACTATTCTACTGTCTGTTTCCCTAAGTTTGCCTGTTTTAGATTCTACGTAAGTGAGATAAAGCAGTGTTTGTCTTTCTGTGCCTGGCTTATTTCATTTAACGTAATATCCTCCAGGTTCATGCATGTGACACATGAGTGTGCAGATCTCTGAGACAGTAATTTTATATCCTTTGGATATTCACCCAGAAGTGAGATTTCTGGGTCATATGGTATTTCTTTTTAAATTTTTTTGAGGGAATTCCAAACCATTTTTCATTATGGCTGTACCAATTTAAGTTCCCACCAACAATGTGTAAGAGTTCCCTTTTCTCCATATCCTTGCAATAATTGTTTATCTTTTGGTTTTTTGATAACAGTCATCCTAACAGGTGTGAGATGATACCTCATTGAGGTTTTGAGTTACATTTCCCTGATGACTAGTGATGTTAGTCACCTTTTCATATATCAGGCCATGTGTATGACTTCTTTGGAAAAATGTTCATACAGGTCCCTTGAACATTTTAAGTTCAGGTTATTTGTTGTTCTTGTTGTTTATTGCTATTGAATTATATACAGTCCTTATATATTTTGGATATACCTCTCAGCCAATGTATAATTTGCAAATATTTTCTCCTTCTGTAGGTTCATTTTTTACTTTGCTGATTGTTTCCTTTGCTACACAGAAATATTTTAGTTTGATGCAATTCTACTCGCTTATTTTTGTTTTTGTTGCCTATGCTTTTAATGTCATATCCCCCAAAATCTTTGCCAAACAGATGTCATAGAGCTTTTTCTCTATATTTTCTTCCAGGAGTTTTATAGTTTAAGGTACTATGTTTAAATCTTTCATCAATTTTGAGCTGACTATTGTGTATAGAAGATAAGGATCAAATTTATTTATTTATTTATTTGCATATGGACATCTAGTTTTTCCACCAACATTTTTGAAGAGACCTTACGTTTCTCATTGTGCATTCTCAGACCCTTTGTCAAAAATTAGTTGACTATGTATGTGAGGACTTATTTTTGAGCTTTCTATTCTGTTGCATTGGTCTGTGTGTTTTTATGTCAGTATCATACTATTTTGATTACTATAGCTTTGTAATGTAATTTAAATCAGGAAGTATAATGTTTCTAGCATTGTTCTTGTTCAAGATTACTTTAGATATTCAGGGTCTTTTGTGGTTCCATGCAAATTTTAATATGTTTAAAATATTTTTGTGAAAACTGTCATTTGAATTTTGGTATTGATTGTATTGACTCTGTAGACCACTTTTGGTAGTATAGATATTTTGATAAAATTAATTCTGTTAATCCATAAATATGGAAAATCTTTTCATTTATTTATGTCTTCTTGAATTTCTTTCATCAATGTTTACTGTTTTCAGTGTACAGATCATTCACCTCATTGGTTAAATTTATTCCTAAGAATTTTATTCTTTTTGATGCTATTGTAAATGGAATTGTTTTCTTAATTTCTTGTTTGGATAGTTTTTGGTTGTATATAAAAATGCTACTGATTTTTGTATGTTAACTTTTTATCCTACAACTTTACTGAATTCATTTGTTAGTTCTAACAGTTTTTTGGTGAAGGGTATATCATATACAAACAAAGATGATTCAGCTTTCTCCCATATGATGTGGATGTCTTTTATTTATTGTATTTATTTATTTTGCCTAATGGGCATTTTTGTCTTATCCCTTGACCTTAAAGATAACACTTTTAGCTTTTTACCATTTGATATGATGTTGGCTGTGGGCTTTCCATTACGACCTTTATTGTGTTGAGATACATTCCTTCTGTAACTAATTTTTTGAGAGGTGCATCATAGAAGGATATTGAACTTTTTCAAATGCTTTCTCTGCTTTTATTGAGAAAATAATTTTTAAGCTTTGTTCTGGTAATGTGGTATATCACATTTATTGATTTGTGTATATTGAACCATCCTTGCATCCCAGGGATAGATAGCTCTTGATCATGCTATATGATATAATCTGTCATTGAATTGTTGCCAGTTTTTTGTTGAGGATGTTTACATCTATTATCATCAGGGTATCGACGTGTATTTTTCTTTTTTTTTTTTTTCAGTGTTCTTGTCTGGCTTTGATAGCACAGTAATGCTGGACTCATTAAATGAATTTGGAAGTTTTCCCTCCCCCTCAATTTTTTGGAAGAATTTGAGAAGAATTGATATCAATTCTTCAAATATTTGGTAGAATGCAACAGTGAAGCCATCAGGGCTTTTCTTTGTTGGCAGATTTTTGGTTACTGATTCAATATTCTTACTTATAATTGATCTGTTCTGATTCTCTGTTTTTTTCATAATTTAGTCTCACTAGGTTATATGTTTCTTGGAATTATCCATTTATTTCAGTGTATCCAATTTGTTGGCATAAAATGTTCATAGTAGTCGCTCATCCTTTGTATTTCTGTGGTGGCAGTTGTAATGTCTCCTGTTTCATTCCTAGTTTTATTTATTTGAGTCTTCCCTTTCTTTTCAGTCTAGCCGAAGATTTGTTGATTTTGTTTACATTTTCAAAAACCCTGGTCTTGGTTTTTAAATTTTTTCTATTGTTCTACTAGTCTCTATTTCATTTATTTCTGCTCTGATTTTTGTTATTATCTTTTCCCTACTAACGCGGGGCTTAGTTTGTTCTTTTTCAACTTTCTTGAGGTATAAAATTAGGATGAATGTTTATTTGAGATTTTTTTTTCTTCATGTAAGCATTAATTACTATAAACTTCCCATTTAGAACTGTTTTTCCTGCATCTCTTCAGTTTTAATATGTTGTATTTCCACCCTAGTTTTTCTCAACATTTTTAAGAATTTCCCATTTGATTTCTTCTTAGGCCCTTTGGGTTGTTCAGAAGCGTATTATCTAATATCCACATATTTGTGAATTTTCCAGTTTTCCTTATCCTATTGATTTCTAGTTTTACATAATTGTGGTCAAAAACAATATTTCATATGATTTCAATCTTGTTAAATTTAATACTTGTGTGATGGCTTAACATGTGATCTATTCTGAAAAAAATGTTCCATGTGCTCTTGAGAATAATGTGTATTCTGTTGCTGTTGGATGGAATCTTCTAAATAAGTTTGCTAGATCTATTTCATCTAAAGTGTAGTTCCAGTCCAATATTTCCTTATTAGTTTTCTGTTTGAATAGTCTATCTATTGCTGAAAGTGGAGAATTGAAGCCCCCTACTATTTTGTATTGCTGTTTATCCCTTCCGATCTTTTAATATTTGTCTTATATATTTAGTTACTCCAATGTTAGATACATATATACTTATAATTGTTCTATCCTCATGATAAATTTACCCCTTTATAATTATACGATAGCCTTATTTGTCTTTTGTGACAGTTTTGGACTTAAAATATTTTTGTCTGATACTTATATTCCTACCCCTGATTTCTTTTGGTTTCCATTTTCATAGGATATTTTTTCTATCCTTTCACTGTCATTTTATATGTGGTCTTAAAGCTCAGCTGAGTCTCTTATTGGCAACATATAGTTGAGTGTTGTCTTATTTTTTTCCATACAGCCACTTCATGCCTTTAGATGAGAGAAGTTAATCAATACACATGTAATGTAATGATTGAAAGATAAGAACTTAGTATCGTCATTTTGTTTAGTGTTTTCTGGCTGTATTGTAAATCCTTTGTTCTTTTTTTCTTCTTTTGCTGTCTTTGTATTTTGATAATTTTCTGTAGTGGTATGCATTGATTCCTTTCTCTTTATCTTTTGTGCCTCTATATGTTTTTGCTTTGTGGTTACAGTGAGGCTTACAGAAGCTATCATATAGTTATAACAGTCTATTTTAATCTAATAACTTTTTTATCTCATCCCAAAACTACACTTTTAATCCTCCTCTTCCCCATATTTTATGTTTTTGATGTCACAATTTACATCTTTTTATATTGTGTATTCAACAAATTACTGCAGCTAATGGTTATTTTGGATACTTTTTGCTTTTAATTTTTATACTAGAGTTACAAGTTTTTTTTTAGTGTTTTATTGTGGTATAATATACATAAAATTCTAATTTTAATAATTATTGACTATTCAAATTCAGTGGCATCAAATGCATTAACAATGTTGCAAAACCATCACCACTATTCATTTTCAAAACATTTTCATCATCCCAAATAAAATTTACATACCACCATTACAGTATTAGAGTGCTCTGAATTTGACTATATACTTATCTTTACTAGTGAGTTTTAAACTTTCATATGTTTTCATGGTACTAATTAACATTCTTTTATTTCAGCCTGAACAATACCCTGTAGCATTTCTTATAAGGCATGTCCAGTAGTGATGAACCCCTTGGCATGTATTATTTGTCTGGGAATGTCTTTATCTCTCCTTTATTTCTGAAGGACAGCTTTGTCAGATAAAGTATTTTTGATTGTCAATTTGTTAACCTGTAGCACTTTGAATATATCGTCTCACTTTCCCATACTGCAAAATTTCTGCTTAAAAAAAGTCTGTTGCTAGCCTAATGAAGCTTTCATTGTATGTTATAAGCCACCTTCCTTTGCTGTTTTCAAAATTCTCTTTGCCTTTGATTTTGGACACTTTGATTATAATATATCCCATCAAGGCTTCTTAAAAGTTGAATCTATTTAGAGGCTTTTAAGCTTCATATACCTGGATGTCAATATCTTTCCCCAGATTTGGGAAGTTTTAATCCATTATTTCTTTAAATAAGCTTTCTGCCCCTTTATCTATTCCTTATCTTTCTGGAATACTCATAATGTAAAAGTTAGCTTTGTTGATGGTGTATCATAAATCCAATAATCTTTCTTCATTCTTTTTCATTCTCTTTTCTATTTTCTCCTCTGATGGAATACAAGTGACCTATCTTCAAGTTCACAGATTCTTCTATTTGATCACGTCAGCTGTTGATGTTCTATTGCATTTTTCATATTAATCCATTGCATTCTTCAGCTCAAAAATTTCTGATTTTTTTATATCTTTTTACTAAAACTTTTACTTTTGATGTGTTTTTTTAATTTTGTTGAGATGTCTATTGGTGTTCTCATCTAGCTCACTGAGTTTCCCTAAAACAATTATATTTAACTTTTGGTCAGGCAGTTTCTTGATCTCCACCTCTGTGGGAGTAATTACTTAAATATTATTTTGCCTCTTAGATGGTATCCTCTTCCATTGATTTTTCATGTTCCTTAAAGTCTTACATTGCTATCTTCATGTTTGAAGAAGTAGTCATCTCCTTCAGTTTTTACTGACTGGATTCAGGAGAGAAACATCTTCACCAATTAGCCCAGCTAGGGATGCTGAGACTAGCTCACATCTTTTCTGTGAGTGTACCTGCTGCATACCTCTTGTTCCCTCTTGGGGATTAATTCTTTAGATTCTCTGTCTTCTTTAGGTCATAAAAAGCCAAGCCAGGTGTTGACAGCCTCCTGTTTGCTTTCCCCAGTGGTGTCTTGAAATCCTTAAGTTTGTGTGGTTTTTTCCAATCCCACAGAGCTGAGTTGGGTGTCTATATAAGATACTTGCACTCACCATTCATGAGAACACACTCAGGGAACAATTGTTCCTTGTTCATTGTTCTAGCTTTACAAGATATAAATGTAATTTCAGGGAAGTTACACTTGAGGAACCAGGCTGGGGGCAGAGGAAGTGAGACATATAAAATATTTGGAGTGCCTATGGGCCAGTTGGAGGGTCCATGGGTGAGGTGCCCCAAGTGGCTTGTGAGTGAGCTTCCTGATGGAGTTGGTGGAGAAGTTAGGGTTTCTGTCCTGTCTGTCCTGTACCCAGCATCTCCTAATTCATGCTCAGTTTCCTGGATAAGATGAGAAAAAACATTGGGCCTCTTGGGCAGTGTTCCACACATCTGGGGAAGCTGAGTACTCACTCACTATGCTCTCACTTTCCCCTGTCAGAGAAATTGTAGGTCAAAGAGTTCTCTCTTGGCACTCAACAGAGCCACCTTGGGGGACATGTAATGCAGGTAAAGTGAAAATGTTCTTTTTACCCTCTTCAATGTATCTATTCTTCAATGTTTTGCTCCAACAGTGTTCTGGAATTTCTCTACTGGACTCCTGGACTCCCACAATGGCACTCTATGTGTGAGTAGTTGTCAAGATTGATACTTCTGCAGAGGGATGACAATAATAAGTTCTCATCTCATCATCCTGTTGAAGTCATTTCCTAGACATCCTTTTATTGAAAATACCCTCTTTAGAAGTGATTCAGTATGCTTTTAACCACTGCATAAATATTCTCCAGCAAAACTATTATCCCAAACTTTGCTATACCAAATTAACACATTTCTGTATAATTTATGTGCTAATTTCAATTTCAATTTCACTGTCAATCATGTTATTGCTTCAATCCTAAATTAATGAAGCAAGTTAGAACTGGAAAATGTCAGATCATTTGAGGGCATCATTCTTTGCTAAGGTCATATAAAATGAAAGAGTACTCTTGTCATAATTCAACAATCCATCTCTTTTTGTAGAGTCATAACATGTTAGAGCTGGAAGCTTTGTAAAATATCATCAAATCCAGGTTTATAGGTAAAAAACTAAACAAACAAGAAACTGAGGTCCAGAGAGGTAAAGGGATTCATCCAAGCTTTTGTAGCCCATCGTTTCTTGTTCACTGTTTCTAGTTTTACATCATCTAGACATGACTTTAATTCATTTGACTGCTACATTATCCCATTCTCCACAGGTGAGTTTAGGAACTTCCCACCTTTCAAATGACCCTTCTAGAGTAAAGAAGTACTCAAGTTGCTTCAGTTACTTTTCTTAACACTTGCGGACATCATTTACTCAGAACTTGCCATTTGCCAACCATTGTGTTAATAGTTTCATATGTATTATTGCATTTAATCACTACACAGATTAAAAATTGAGGCTTTGAAAGGTTAATTACTTGCCCAACATAGCATAGTCATTACAGTGGAAAGGTAGAGTTCAGAGTCTTGGAAATTGTGCTCTTAGCCACTGGGCTACACTGCCTCACTCTCTGGGTTTGAATGGCTTTGCTGTGCTGACCTGGAATAGGAGCTTTTGAATTGACCTTTTGGCTCATATCTCCACCCTCCTCCAGTACGCTCGTTTTATTAATGAGGTTCCTGTTAAAATCCTCTGAGCCAGAATTCTCTCTAGAGGCCCACATTGTGGGACTCATTGTCTCTTTTGATGCCATTCTGAATTCCTTGTTAGATAATCTGTCTCACTTCCTACCAAGAATTCTGACTTGGCAGCTTTGTTTTTCCTGCCTTCCCAGGCTCCACAGCCTGAAGGCTGGCACACTGATGCTCTGAGCAGGGCCCAGGCAGGGCTGCTGACTGGGCATGTTGACTTATCGATAATTCAGGAAGTGAAGGTAGTGCTGTTGGAAATAGACCTCAAGATGGACATGAGCCAGGTCATCAGTACAGTGCATGCCATGCTGAGGAGTTTGGATGGGATCCGATCCTCAAGCTGATGGAGAACTGTGGATTTGTAGCAGGAGAGTGACATGCCTGAGTTTGTTGGATTATCAAAAGAGATCTCTTTAGAAGTGTGGAGAATATTTGGAGGAAGATGAGGCAGAATGATCTCTCTCTTCCACTTTGCCTCTCTGAGTCTTTCACATTCCTTAGAATACATCTCAGGTTCATTTTCTGGACTGAAATCCTCTCTAGCACAGGGACTGTGGTGATCTCCTTGCTCTGAAGCATTAAGGGCACATGTAACTAATTTCTGAATTAACAATATGCTGCAATGTGACAAACCTTGCATTTTTTTTTTTTACAATCTGGCACATAAGGTGATATTTATATGTAATAGATGTTTGTATAATATAAATGCGTGTAGTACAAGACATATTTTTGACAATGTTTGTGTAATATAAAGAATTTTTGACAAATACTTGTAAAATTCAGCACTTTTATAAATACATAATTTTATATTTATATTTGTGTAACCATAATAAAGATAGAGAATATTTCCAGTATCTCAAAAAGTTCTCTCATGCTTCCTTGCAACAATTCTCTCCCCACCTCTGACCCCAGGCAACAATTTTACTCTAAAATGTTGTCTTTCCCACAATTTCATATAAATGGAATTATATATCATGAAGCCTTTTGGGTCTGGAGTCTTTTATTCATCCTAATGCTTGTGAGATTCATTTGCGTTATTTTGTCAACTAAAATTTCTTTGCATTACTGAGTAATATTTTATTGTATAAATAAACCATATTTTTTATGCATTTACCAAGTGAACATTTGGGTTCCTTCTGTTTTTTTTTTTTTTTTTTTTTTTTTCTGTTACAAATAGAGTAACTATGAACACTTGCATACAGGTCTTTGTGTGGATATATGTTTCCATTTCTCTTGGGTAAATACATAGAAGTGACATTTCTGGATTGAATGGTATAGATATTTTTAACTTTATTTGAAACTGCCAGACTGTTTTCCATGTGGTTATACTATTTTACAACCTCACCAGCAAAGTATAAAAGTTCCAGTTTCTCTGGATCCCTGTCAGCACTTGGTAATATGAATCTTTAATTTTGGCCAATCTAGTGGATGTAAACTGGTAATTCAATTTAGCTTTAATTTGCATTTTATTCATGACTAATAACATTAACAACTTTTCAAGTGGTTATTCACATTCTTATATCTT